>NC_000007.14:144761410-144912925 GCF_000001405.40 Homo sapiens | reverse complement strand
CTGACCTCATGATCCACCCGCCTCAGCCTCCCAAAGTGCTGGGATTACAGGCGTGAGCCACCAGGACCAGCACAGGTGGTCATCATTAATCAGATGATCACATGAATAGAACCAGGTGGAAGAAGGATGAACTTGATCTCTGCTTGAGTGGGGCCATCCATTTTCTTCTGCTCCTAGACATTGGTGCTTCTGGTTCTTAGGCCTTCAGACTAGGACTAATAACACCAGTGGCTTTCTTAGTTCTCCAGCTTGCAGATAGCAGATTATAGGACCTCTTGGCCTCCACAATTGTATAAGAAATAAAATCTGAATCCCCCCCAACTGACTGAAGGGATCCCCTCTTGGCCAAGGGAACCCCAGAGAAACCTTGGAAACAGAATTCACAGCCAAGACAAAGGGAATATCCCTTCCCTCGCTCACAGTCATTAGATTTTCTTCCCTAAGGGCTAAACAGAAACCAGACTTTTCAAAAGACTACTAGTTTATCTTCCAAGGTACCGAACAAAGACAAAATGAGATAAATCATTCCTTCACCCTACTCTGAGATGTCTGCTATCTCTCTTCCTTTTCTTACATGTTCACCTTATGTAAAATGGATATTTACTGGGTACTAACTAAAGTCTCACAAGTATATAATCATTTGTCTCACTGCCGCCTTCCCCTTGTTAAAGAAAATGTATAAATACTAAACCTCCTGGGCTGGGCACAGTGGCTCACACCCGTAATCTCAGCACTTTGGGAGGCCAGAGGCAGGTGGATCACCTGAGGTAGGGAGTTCAAGACCACGCTGACCAACATGAAGAAACCCCATCTCTACTCAAAATACAAAATTAGCCAGGTGTGGTGGCTCATGCCTGTAATCCCAGCTACTCAGGAGGCTGAGGCAGGAGAATGGCTTGAACCTGGGAGGCGGAGGCCATGTATTCCAGTCTGAGCAACAAGAACGAAACTCTGTCAAAAAACAAAACAAGACAAACAAAAAAAAACAAACAACAACTAAACCTCCTAAGAACTTCTTTGGGAAAAACATCCACAGAAGTTTCTGTGACTCATGTTTTTCCCAGGCATGCCTCAAACAGGCTCAATAAACCTTGATTTGAGACTTATGCCTCAATCAGTTATTTTGGTTGTCAAAGTAATTTCCTATAATAAATCTCTTGTTAAGTAGGTCTATATATTCTATTGGTTTTGTTTCTCTGGATAACCATGACTGATACCACATTTTGTTTATCGATTAAGCCACTGATGGACATTTGGGTTGTTTTTACCTTTTAGCTATCATAAATAATGTTGCGATGAATATTTATATGCAAGCTTTTTTGTGGATATATGTTTTTCTATTGGCTATATACCTGGGAGTAGGATTGCAGAGTCATGTAACTATTTAATCATTTGAGGAACTGTCAGTTTTCCAAAATGGCTGTGCTATTTTACATTTCTACCAGCAGCATCTGAGGGTTTTGATTATTCTACACCCTCATCAACACTTGTTATTCTTTGACTAATTGTTTCTGGACATCCTCATGGGTGTTTTTAACTAAGCTAAAAACTTAGCTTTAAAACAAGACCTAGTTTTTAACTTAATGTTTTAATTACCAAGAAGTTTCAGAACTGTATTCACATGGACCTGAGGACGACCTGTGACTGTCTCTCAATATCTTTCTTTGGGGGAAAAGTAGATCTGACCTGTCAGAAAAATCTCAAAGCAAAAAAAAAAAAAAAAAAAAGTTAAGGGCAAGGCAGCTGAAAAAAAATGCATTTTATTTCTATCAGACACATAGGCTTAAGTTTAAGGACTGTATATCTAACTTGTATATCCATGCATCATTGCACTTCAGTATGAACCTGCTGGGATTCCTCTTGTTAGCTGGTGTCAGTTGCAAAATGGTATTTGTCAAATGACCCTTTACCTCCAGCTCCTACCTTCATTTCCCAGTCTTTCATCCAAAGTCACTTGTAAATGTGTGAAATTCTCGAAAGTCTCATGTTGCCTGCTTTCCAGGACCGTTAGGCTATTTATTCAATACAAACATGTTTGCTGCTTATCTCCCCTGTGCTAGACACTGACTATGAAAGGCGTTAGAGCTACAGTTGTAAACAAAACCAAATAAAATCCTTGCCATTGTGGAGCTCACATATAGTGAGAAGGACGTTATCGATCAAATAATCACACAAATAAATGTAAATCTACACCTGTGCTAAGTGCCATAGAGGACAGGTACTTAATTCACGGATTTACAAAAATGGTGGATACAGAGGGGAGTGGGGGAGGGAGGGAGGGAGTGGGCTGGCAGAAAAACTATTTGCAGGAAACATCTGTGGCAGTGAGATGTTGAACTGATGACTGCGTATTAACAGTTTCATTCTATTTCTACTTTTTGTCAAGACCACACTAACAAATGGCTCCCAGGTAAACCGTCTGGAACCCCAGGAAATAGCAGAATGTCTTTTTGCCATATAGTAAACAAAAGCAGTTTTACTAATATTTAAAGCTCGTAGTCTGATGTGCATGTATATGAGTCTCTCGACTAAGCTACTTCAGACATTGATATATATTTCCATGGACCCAATTTCACAAAACCTATTTTCTTCTGTTGTCTTTTTGTTTCAAATTCTGATTATTTTTTCAGGTGTTTGTTACTGTGCAATTTTTTTTATTATTTTAAATGTTTATTTCACCAAATCTATAGCCTTTTTCTTTTTGAGCATTTGGGTTTTCTCTTATTTTCTCTCTAAAGAAATCTAAAGTTTGTTTTTAATACAAAATAATTTCTCAGAGATTTCTAATTGGCTTAAGATTTGATCTTTTATAAGTTTATATGAAAACGTAGCTGTCTCCAATGTATATGCCTATGATTACTTATTGTTTTACCATTGTTCTTTGGAAGATTTGGCTTCCAAACAAGTGGAGTGATTTTATCTAGCTTAACTATATCTTAATATGTGATGTGGTGCAACTGGTATAAGGTCTGAGGTCAGATCTGAGCTTCAATCCAGACTATTATTTATTATTGGTGTGATCTCTAACGAGCTATTTAACCTCTCAAGATCTCAGCCCTTTGATTAAAAGAAAAAAAATGAAATTAGTGGGACATATCTTTGCAGAATTTTTAGCATTAAATAATCGTTATATCAAACATTTTGTATACTGACTAGCAAAAAAATGCTATAGAAGGCTAACCTATTACATAATTACTTTGCTTTGTATTTCCACTGCTCTATATTTATCTGGAATAAAGGAAAGGTTATTTTCTCCCTCCCAGAAGAGTTACAAGGCATTTTATTCCAAAATACTAAGCCCTCTTGTCCAGCGAGGTAAGTCAAGCAGGCAGGTTCTTTTGCGGTTCTGGGGTTTGAAGCCTGGCTCCCGAAGAAACGAAGCACTTGCTGATTAGCCAGCAGGTTCCATGGAGGGAGAAATGTGTATGAAGTGGGATTTGTTCTATTTAATCGGAAGAAGGAAGGGCAAAAAGAAAGCAGCTGGCCTTTGGATGGCTCTCTGGAGCCTGAAGGAGAAAGGCTGCAGGGAATTTGAGGGTGGCGCATGGATGCCACACATGGATGCATCCTAGGAGACAGGAAGGCTTCAGAACCCCGGGGTGGTATGTGGTAAGTGCTGTGGGGAGCCTGTGGCTGGCTCCAGGCCTGAGTGAGCTTAGCAGACAAGAGCTGCTGACCTGCTCTGCAGAGGATGCTCTCCCAGACTACAGAACCTGGGAGTGCCAGGGAGCAGCAGGTGGGGAAGGTAGGTGACCAGACCTCTGACCCACCATGGTAGGACAGAAAGGAAAAGCAATCTCCAGAGGAGTGGCAGCCACAGCTCAAAGATCAGGGCTCCCACCTGTGACCCAGTTAGAAAAATAAAGGAGCTTTGTAAGAGTCCAGGAATTAAAAGCTTTGAAGACTCTGAAACAACAACTGATACTGGTTTCCTTTCCTCCTTTTTTTTTTTTTTTTCATTTTTCTTTTCTTTTTTTTTTCTGGTGGAGGATACAAGAGAAGCATCTTGAGCTTTTTCTAATTAAAGCAAAAAAGAAACCAAATATGACATTGCATTCTTAAGTGATGTGGAACTGTTCATAACTATTGCATATATCCAAAAAAAGGAGCAAGTGTTAACCATTTGATAATTGGAAAAGCCTGTACATTATTTTAGCAACAACATTGAGATAATAAATGCTTCTATGGTATTGTTATTATTTCACCTTTGTGAGTCCTTATTTCAAATAAACTCCCATGCTTTAGAGAAGGGATGTAAACCTTAGGAGGCCTGATTCTGCTCCCTAGTTTCCCCACCCCTCCCTTTGCTTTTTGCCCTGTTTCTTTCCTTCTCTGCTGGTTTTCTCTGTTTCTCCTTTGCATTTTCAGTTCCTCTTTCTCTTTCCTTTCCCTTCTCAGCTTTCTCAATCTCTCTCCTTTCCTGGTTACCTCTCATTTCAAAGTCCACAGCTCACCACCTCCCTTTTCCCTGTTTCGCCTCCTTTTCTCCTCTCCACTTTCTTTCTGCTTTTCTTTCCTTTCTCTCTCTGCTTCACCTTGCCTGCCCTTGCCATTAACCCCACTCCAATTCCCCATCTTGCATTGACTTTTTCAAAATAGAATTTTCTCTAAATAGAATCAAAAATCTTGATCTATATTTCCTCCAATTCATCCACAAGGGAAATCTCGCCCTTCAGATGATAAGTGGGAAGCTTCAAAGGCAAGCCCTTGAGTGCTCTAATATTCTGGACAGTGACTCTGAAATCTGCATATGTCTGTGAAGAAAACTTTATATATAACTAAAAAGTACTTAAAATATCTATGAGAACTTTTTTAAAACCATAGTAATAGGTTATCTTTCAGGCAAAAAGGAAAAGGAACAAAACAGACATGGCCCCTGAGAGCAGAAAGGGTTCTTTGGGGCTGAATTTAAGCAGCTGAAAAGAGAGATATATTCAGATAAAGTATCATCTGAGGCAAAACCATAACATCTCAGTGTAACAAGATTCTGCATTAAAACAGCTAAAGTAGAAAAAAAAGTATATGTGATATTCTGCCTACCTAAGTAATTATGACTTACAATTTCTTTTACTGCTGTACCTTCAAAGCCTGTCCTTGTTTACCCTTGGAACTTCCGTTCTAGAGGCAGAAAGAGCCTTGTGTGGGCTGAGGAGAGACAGCAGGACTCCTGACTTCTCACAATGGTTTTGATTTGAATAGATGGACCACGTGTTTCCTTTTGGTCTTTTAAGGATTGGCATTATTTTTCTGAGAGGCTAATCAACCGAAACAGTAGAGTCGGTTAGTGTACATCCAGTGTACTTTTACCTGGGGACCCTTCAAACAAATGCCCAACAGGACCTCAAGAAGCACTTTCTAATAAGTAAAGTGAGTTCCTGTGAACAGAAAGAAAGTTCCAAATGAAGATGGATTATGCATGTGGAGGAAGGAGCCACGAGAGAGGAAGGCTCATGCATTTCTATGAATGCCTGTTTTTTAGACGAGGAATATGATCATGACAACCTCATGACAAGGTAAAAGGATGCAGTCTTCCATATTATAGAACTTGAAGAGAAGGACTTTCTGACAATCAAAATTGTGTTCATCCTTGTTTTGCCTGGTGTTTCACAGTTGGAGACTAATATGTTAGAATGAGCACATCCAATTCTATCTGAGTCTAGATAGTAAAGAACACGTGAGGCTGGGTGCAGTGGCTCACGCTGGTAATCCCAGCACTTTGGGAGGCTGAGGCAGGAGGATCACCTGAGGTCAGGAGTTTGAGACCAGCCTGGCCAACATGGTGAAAAGGGTTTCACCTTGTCTCTACTAAAAATGCAAAAATTAGCGGGGCGTGGTGGTAGGCGCCTGTAATCCCAGCTACTCAGGAGCCTGAGGCAGGAGAATCGTTTGAACCCGGGAGGCAGAGGTTGCAGTGAGCCAAGATCATGCCACTATACTCCAGCCTGCTCAGTGCAACCTCTGCCTCCTGGGTTCAAGCGATTCTCCTGCCTCAGCCTCCGCAGCAGCTGGAATTGCTGGTGACACCATGCCCAGCTAATTTTTGTATTTTTAGTAGAGATGGGGTTTTACCATGTTGGCTAGGCTGGCCTCAAACTCCTAACCCTCAAGTGACCCACTCACCTCAGCCTCCCAAAGTACTGGGATTACAAGCACAAGGCACCCCGCCCAGCCAGATCTGACTTTGTATATTAACGCTGTCCAATAGAAATGTAATGTAAGCCACATATACATTTTTAACTTTTCTACAAATCATTTTAAAAGTTAAAAGAAATGGGTAAAATTAATAGTATATTTTATCTAAATCAACATAGCCAAAATATTATTTCAACATGTAATAAATATTTCTTAAAATTATTAATGAGCTGTTTTTACATTCTTTTTTCCATACCATGTCTTTTAAATTCAGTGGATGTTTTACATTTACAGCTCGTCTCATTTCAGATTAGCCACATGTCAAGCGTGGCCACTGTATTGAACAGTACAGCTCAGAATCATGTGTCCTTTCCTTTTTCTTTTCAAGTACAATATTTTCATTTCCTTACCTCACTTTCTACACAGATAATCATTCATTATATTAAGATGATTCAAAATTTACCGCTACCCAAATGTCCACCAAAGAATGAATGGATAAACAAAAAGTGTATATATACTTGCAATGGAATATTAACCTTAAAACGGAATGCAATTTTGACACGTCACAGCAAGAATTAACCTTGAATACATTATGCTAAGTGTAATAAGCCAGACCAAAAAAAACCTCACAAATATTGTATGATTCCACTTAGATGAGATACCTAGAGGAGTCAGATTTATATAGACAGAAGGTAGAATGGTGGATAACAGGGTCTTGGGAGGGGGAAATGGGGAGTTATTTTTTTAATAGGTACAGAGTTTCGTTTTATTTTTTGAGACAGAGTCTTGCTCTGTTGCCCAGGCTGGAGTGCAGTGGTGTGATCTCGGCTCACTGCAACCTCCGCCCCCTGGGTTCAAGCGATTCTCCTGCCTCAGCCTCCTGAGTATCTAGGATTAGAGGCATGCGTCACCACACCCAGCTAATTTTTGTATTTTTAGTAGAGACAGGGTTTCACCATGTTGCCCAGGCAGGTCTCGAACTCCTGACCTCAGGCAATCTTCCCACTTTGGCCTCCAAGAGTGCTGGGATTACAGATGTGAGTCACCACGCCCTTTCAGAGTTTCATTTCAGAGTGATGAGAAAGTTCTGGAGATGAGTAGTAGTGATGTTTGCACAACAATGTAAATGTACTTTGTAAACTAAGAATAAGAACAAAAATAAAATTCTGAGCCCCCCAACTTTTTGAATAAACACCTCCTTTCAGCCAAGGGCATTCCAAAGTTAACCTGAAAAACTAGTTCAGGCCATGACGGGAAGGGGGCTCGGACGTGACTCACTATACCTTCCTCCCTTTGGAATTCATGCACAACCGAACAGCATTAATATTAAAAGAGATCTTAAGACTTTTTGTAGCAATAAGATATCAAATTCCAGCCTGACTCTAGTGCAGCATCACATGACAGATAGCAGGCCCTGAAAGAAATCAAAGTATTTTACCTTCAAATATATTTATTTGACATATTTTGGAATGACCCTACAAAGCTATCTCTTGTGGGGAAAATCTACATTCTATATAAAATCTCTTTCCATTTCCAGGTCTTTTCCTTGATTTAGGAGAGAATTAACTAAGAGTCTGGCACCTTTTTAAGTCTGATAAGAAGCCTTTAAAATCTATTCTCTCTGAAGCCTGGTACCTGGAGGCTTCATCTGTATAAGAACATTGGTCTCCACAATGCCTTATCTTAACCCAGACATTCCCTTCCGTGGATTCCAGGTCTTTAGATACTCTTTTAAACCAACTGCAAATCAGAAAACCTTTCAATTAATCTGTGACCTGGAAACCTCCCTCCCTGCTTCAAGTTGTCCCACCATTCCAGACCAAACCAATGTATATCTTAGAAGTATTGATTGATGTTTTAGGTCTCCCTAAACTATATACCGAACTGTAGCCCAACCACCTTAGGCATATGTCGTCAGGATGTCCTGAGGCTATGTGTCATGGGCATGTCCCTAACCTGGCAAAAGAAACTTCTAAATTGATTGAGACTTGTCTCAGATGCTTTTTGGTTTACAACCGAATGCCACTGACTATATACTTTAAAACGAGTAAAAAGGTAAATTTTATATCATGTATAGTTTAATAAAACAGACAAAAAAATTCACTGCTATAAACCCTACATGAATAACCAGCCTTTCAGCTTTGAATTTATTTCCTTTCTGTGGGAAGAATAGCTTCTCCATATTGCTTCATAATCATAGTTTGGGAAGTGTTATTATATTATTAATTATAAAATTACACCTTATTTTCCATATGATTGAACACTAGGTGATTTATGCAACAATTAGCAGGGTAACTTTCACTTGCAATTAGAAATGCGGGACCAAGTAATAGATGCAAAAACAGCAGCTACAAACCTTATTCCTGTTACAGAAGAGTGTGCTTGAAAAGGAGAACAACAATTCAGTTCAGTGGAGGGACTGTTGTTCTAACAATACAATACATGAAATTCTGGCTTTGGATGAGACATTAAAAATGCTTTGTTAGTAGTAAATGAGCAAAAGGCACCGCCAGTCTTTTCCATAAAAACTCCCACCAGTTTTGTACTCAGCATATCAAGATGTGTGGGCTTTAAAGGCAGAAAGAAGGGAGCATTTTTGTAACTTAAAAGTCCCATTAATTAGCACATATTTATTGAGCTTAAGGATAACATAATCTTGCAATTCAAAGAAAAAGAAACCTTATATTTCGTGGTTGAGAGAATAAGTTCCCCACTTTCCTATCACCTCAGGTATCCTGCCCATAGAACCAATGTAATAATGGAAAGCCCACGAGTTTAGCTGTTGGAAAGGCCGATGTTCAAATCCCAGCATTGACATTATTAACTATAAAAAACATTAGGAAGATGTTAGGCTCTCTGAGCCTCTGTTGACTCACCAGTAAAATGGGGGAAATATTTACTTTTCAGAGTTGCTATGAGGATTCTCAACAATTATATGAAGTGTATGACACTGATAACTGATCACTATTACTAATCTCCTTATGGAAATCAGACTAGGACTTATTCAATTTCTAGACCTAGTATAACTTTGAGTACAGTAAAAGCTGTATTTCACCTTGTACTTTACAGAATAATCACCACAGCAATTAAATAATTGGTTATTTAATTACCTGTTTAACGTCTCTTTCCCTTGTAACACTGTAACTCCATGAAGTCAAAGACCTTATCTGTTTCCTTCACTAATGTATTCCCAGATCCTTTGTAAATCATGCAAATAAAACAAGGAGACCTGAGGAGAAGAGAAAGCGTGATGACATCCAACAATGGCCACCATAATTCTGAGAGCAAGAGTTTTATGCTCTATCAGACTGAGTTAACCAAGGCAAGGAATTGCCCAGGTTCAGCCAGCCTAGTGAGTGGAGCATGAATGAATTAACAAAGGAATGTGGGTTCCAGTCTCACCTTGTCATGTTCTTCACATAATTTGCACTCAATGCACATGAATCACCAGGGTGTGTATGCATGCTTCCCCATCACAGTTCCAGCACATAATGGTGTTCAATAGCTATTCTGAATAAATCAATTACAAATCAACCTTCTTCACGTACCAGTGTGAGTGGTGTCCCTGACCTTCAACAATGTAACGGTACTGCTTGTATATGATCTATTACATTTAACCTAAGTAGTCATAGAAATAACCGTATGCTGTTTTTGACCTAAGTGCTGTTGTAGAAACAACACTGGATCTAGTTTTGGAAAATGCAGGTTTTAAATGTTACTTCAGTTTCTCTGTCTCTAAAACTAGGTATTTTGTTTTTCGTTTGTTTGTTTGTTGAGAGGCAGTCTCGTTTTGTTGCCCAGGCTGGAGTGCCATGGCGTGATCTCAGCTCGCTGCAACCCCACCTTCCGAGTTCAAGCAATTCTCCTGCCTCAGTCTTCCGTGTAGCTGGGATTACAGGTCTGCACTACCATGCCCAGCTAATTTTTTTTTGTATTTTTAGTAGAGACGGGGTTTCACCATGTTGGCCAGGCTGGTCTCGAACTCCTGACCTTCAGTGATCTGCCTGCCTCAGCCTCCCGAAGTGCTGGGATTACAGGTGTGAGCCACCGTGCCCAGCCTAAAACTAGGAATTTTGAATGAATGAACTCAAGTTTCCTTCCAGATATACTATTATATGATTTTTTTTAGATATGTATACCTCATCCAGATGAGGAGAAGGTAGTAAAAGACATAATTAAAACAATGAGTAATTTTTCATGATTCAAAGCAATGTAATAGCTTCTGGTCACTACAGGGTTCTGGACAACTTATTTATATATAAAATCTTAATTACTTAAATCGATATATGTTTAAGATACTGGTCCTAATCATTCTCTAATATCAATTGAAAACTCATGGGCAGCTTCTCTATAATGCGTCCCATCGATAAAGGCTACCTGGATCTGTACAAATATTTCTTGACTATGTTACAAATTTGGACACTAGAAAATGGACCCTTGGAAGACAAAACTGTAAATGCATTCACCTCACCATTCAACCCATTATTGACATTAGAACAAACTGTCCACCCAAGATATTTGGATGCCTATGTCTCTGTTCAGCAATATCTAATATAATTCAGAACCATGCCTCACTCCACCTTCTAATTTAAGAGGTAAGCAGAAAGCTCTATCTCTTGCATCTGCCCTCTCTAGAGTGCTTGTTTGGCTATATAAGCTTTATTTCAGCTCTCACTTTTCTTATGACCAGCCCTCTGAAGTAGAGGTGATTATGACCTAGAAGTAGCCATCTATTTGATTGGAGGGAATCTATCATCAGTGGACCTTAAAAAGAGATGGGTGTGAAACAAGCTCTCATTACTCACCTTTCTGTACCTTCAGAATCCCCAAGATTAGTACATTGGTTTGTGCAGATAAAAAGATGGAGTGATATTCAAAAGATTTAACAACTGGCTCTGCAGAAGCATGAACCTATAAGAAAAGATAAGGGTCTCTAGGACCTCTAGCAGTTAACCAGCTCTATGCCAGCAGTTAATCATTTACTTTCTGGATTCTGAGGAGAGGGGGGTCCTAGGAATGAGTCTAGAGTGGCTGAGATGGTACAAAAAGTAACATTTTGAGAATCTCAGAATAGCATAAGAAAGAATTTAAATATTTTAACAATGAGTATGGCCATAACATTGTATACTGAATATTAGCCTTGAGTGTATATGAATTGCTCTACTAAAATTTTAAGACAATTTCAAGAGAATTGTGGTATGAAGGAAAAGGTTAAAGTTCTAGCTAAATTATACATTCTTTTAACTATAAGGTAAAGGCAGACAAAAATGTAAATCCTAATCCTCTGGTCCAAAATGCCCACTCCCCTCTGCACTCTCTCAGGATTGTGTCTCATTTTCCAAGTACCACCTTAAATCTTTCTATTGCAAATTCAAACCCTTCATCCTCAACAAAATACTAGCAAACTCAATTCAACAGCACTTTAAAAGGATCATACACCATGATCAAGCAGTATTTATCTCTAGAATGCAAGAATGGTTCAATATATGGAAATCAACACATGTGATACACCCTATTAACAGAATGAGGGATAAAAAACATGATCATCTAAATAGATGCAAAAAAAAATTTGATAAATTTAACATACTAAGGCCATAGATGACAAGCCCACAGCTAACATCATACTTAGCAGTGAGAAGTTGAGAGTTTTTTCCCTAAGATCAGGAACAAGACAAGAATGCCCACTATTGCCATGTCTATTTAGCATAGTACTAGAAATCCTTATCAGAGAAACTAGGTCAGAAAAAGAAATAAAAGGCATCCATATCAGAAAGGAACAAGTGAAATTGTCTCTGTCTGCAGGTAACATGATCTTATATACTGACATTGTAAAACTACTGGGAGAAAACATAGAAAAAAATCTCGTCTTGACATTGATCTGGGCAATGATTTTTTAATGACTCCAAAAACACAGGCAACAAAAGCAAAAGTAGACAAATGGGATTGCATCAAACTAAAAAGCTTCTTAACAGAAAAGGAAACAATCAACAGAGTGAAGAGATAACTTATTGAAAGAGAGAAAGTATTTGCAAACCATACATCTGATAAGGGGTTAATATCCAAAACATATAAAGAACACAAACAACCCAATACCAAGAAAACACATAGCCTACTTAAGAAATGGGCAAATAACCTGAATAGACATTTCTTAAAAGAAGGCATGGAAATGGCCAAGAAGTATAAAATGTTCAACATCTCTAATTATCAAAAAACTAAAAATTCAAACCACAACGAGGCATCACTCACACTTATTAGAATGGCTATGATCAAAAAGACAAAAGATAACAAGCATTGGCAAGGATGGGGAGAAAAGGGAACACTTGTACACCCCCAGCCTTCCGAATATATATATGTATGTACAGACATTATAGAAAACAGTATGGAGTTTTCTCAAAAAATAAAAACAAACAAAACTATCATATGATCCAGGAGTCCCACTTCTGGATATATATCCAAAACAATAAAATCAGTATGTCAAAGAGACAGCTGCACTCTCATGTCCATTGCAGCATTATTCACAACAACCAAGATATGGAAACAACCTAAGTGTTCATTATAGCTGGATAAAGAAAACATGATATGTATATATATACATGCACAATGGATACTATACAGCCTTAAAAAAGAACATTCTGTCATTTACGACAACATGAATGGACCTGAAGGACGTCATGCTAGAAAAAAAAAATAATAAGCCAAGCACAGAAAGATAAATACTGCATTATCTCATTTATATAATGTAAAAAAGTTGAATTCAGAAACAGAAAGCAGAGTGGTGGTTTTCAGGGGATAAAGGTTGCAGGAAATAGGGAGATGTTGGTCAAAGTCTGCAAAGTTCAGTTATGCAGGATGAATAGGTTCTGGAGATCTAACGTACAACACAGTAACTGTAGTTAATAATACTGGATTGCAACTTACCCATGGTAACAGAAAAAAAAAATACTGTATTTGTATTAGTCTGTTCTCATGCTGCTAATAAAGACATACTCAAGACTGGGTATTTTATAAAGGAAAGAGGTTTAATGGACTCACAGTTCCACATGACTGGGGAGGTCTTACAATCATGGTGGAAGGCAAAGGAAGAGCAAAGGCACGTCTAACATGGCAGCAGGCAAGAGGGCATGTGCAGAGGAACTCCCCATAAAACCATCAGATCTCCTGAGACTTACTATCATGAGAACAGCACAGGAAAAACCCATCCCCATGATTCAATTACTTCCCACTAGTTCCCTCCCACCACATGTGAGGATTATTACAATTCAAGGTGAGATTTGGGGGTCAATATAGCCAAGCCATATCAGTATTACATACTTTAAGCTGTTAAGAAAGTAGATCTTAAATGTACTCAACACACACATATACACACACGTACAATGTTAACTATGAATTTCCAAATTTTTTTCCTTGGGGAAACTGCTACCTCCTCCTATTGAAAGAAATCTCTTCCTATGGATCCTTCTTCCCTTCACCCAATACCATGCCCAAGTGTGAATCAAGCAGGCTTAAGAGGCTCCTGGGAATGCTTCAGCCAGTAGACAATAACACCCATCATAACATTGATCTTTATTTTCTAGAGACAGGGTGTTTCTCTGTGTCCTAGGGTGGAATGTAGTGATGTGATCATAGCTCACTGCAACCTTGAACTCCTGGGCTCAAAAATGATCCTCTGCCTCTTGGGTAGCTGGGACTGCAGGTGCACACCACCACACCTGGCTAATATTTTTATTATTTTTTGTAGAGGCAGGGCCTTGCTATGTTGCCCAAGTCGATCTTGAGTTTCTGGCCTCAAATGATTCTCCTTGCCTCCACCTTTCAAAGTGCTAGGATTACAGGCATGAGCCCCCAAGTACAGCCTTCATCACGTTGATCTTTAAACAGAAGAAAGTGGGCTCCAGTGCTATTGTAAAGTGGGATCATGATTCTCCAGTCTGAGCTTCCTTTCGATATTATTTGCCAGTGAGACCTTCAGGCCTCAGAACTCCGAATGACATCAAATAGTTCTTAAGCACAGCTACTTAAAACTCTCATTAACCATTTTCAGACTACATAGTCCTATCTGATATTGAGAAAGAAAGAATTTTCTCAATTAACATCAGATTGCCCTATCCTCTGAGCCAAATGGTTTCTTTTATCCTGGAAAAGCATCATTTTCTTTTCTTTTGCTTGATGTTTGTATTTTAATTGCTCTGACCTAATAGCCTATTTTAATTATTAAGAAGAGAACACAAATATTTGTCTTAGTAGTTGTTTTCTAAGCTTTTGAAAAAAGCTCTACAAAGGAACTTTGTGATGAGGGGGATAAAAGGTCGAGGCTTTGCTGCTCATTCCATATGCCACACTAATAATATCATCTTTCAAATCTACGTAGCTCCTTATGAAGAGCTTTCCCTTGAGTTTTCCAAATCTGAGACACAGATTTTTATTTCATCTCAAAGATGATAAAACTGAGGAGTGGACCAATTAAGAAATATGCCAAAAGGCTGGGCATGGTGCCTCATGCCTGTAATCCCAACACTTTGGGAGGCCGAGACGGGTGGATTACATGAGGTCAGGAGTTCGAGACCTGCCTAGCCAACATGGTGAAACCCTACCTCTACTAAAAATACAAAAAACTTAGCCGGGCGTTGTGGCAGGCACCTGTAATCCCAGCTACTCTGGAAGCTGAGGCAGGAGAATCACTTGAATCCAGGAGGCGAAGGTTGCAATGAGCTGAAATCGTGCCACTGCACTCCAGCCTGGGCAACAAGAGTGAAACTGTCTTTAAAAAAAAAAAAAAAAAAAAAAGCAAGAGAAAAGAAATTTGCCAAAAAAAAAACCAAAATAGAAATATTACAATGCAAATACCAAATTAAGTCTTCTTTCTATGGGGGTCTAAAATGTTTTCCACGGTAGTCCTTTATCTCAGTTTTATTCACTTTTTCTGTACTAATCTAGTCCCTTTTAGAGGGTATGTTCCAAAAGAACAGAACTGTGTCTAACCAGTTTTACACAGCATCTTACGCACATAGCTACTTAAATTAACATAATTCAAGAGATATTTATGAAGCTTCTACTATGTAAAAAGTACTGTATTTAGGCATTCTCTCCAGGCCTTTGGGAACTTACAGTTACCATTTGATGATAGCCTTAAATAGAATTACATTGTTTAAAAATATATGTTTTTTACAGAGACGTCTTAATTGATCCTGGAATAAATAAGGTTTCAGAAATGTCAGTGGGCCTCTGTGATGTTGTCTTCCCAGCATACTCTTCGTGTATTGTTGATCCCATCCAACTATTTTGGTAACAAAGGAGCTGACTTGTTCCTATCTTATATGACCCACACTTGTTGACAGTTGATTGGCCCAGCAGTATACCTGACTTAAAGTAGGCCAATGAGTTCATTCCCTAGAGTTTTGGAATCTGATATCCAGAAGTCTTCATTTGGAGGCTGAAGATTTGAAAATTAAGTGTGGGGAGCTGTCACTTACCATGTGTCTTACCAAGTGGAGAAAGGTAGTCTGCAAAGAATAAGAATGAAGCCAACAGCCAGGAAAAAGTGAAGATGATGGCAGTCTGCTGTCCTTTAAGTCTCTGTTCTGGTTATCTTAGTTCCTCCTGCCCTTTCTGAAATTCGGTTGCTACTCTTCAGTGAATTTCGTAAGCCCATATTTTTGGTATTTTGTGGGTATTCTTTTTTTTTTTTTCTTTTTTGTCTTAAGCTAAGTTGGGTTTGTGGCTTTCAATCAAAAGCCTCAGCTAATACAAAGAGGCTAATAGGTTGTTACTGATCCACAGATCATTTTACTAGCACAAGTGGAGAAAGGAATTTTATTCACCATAGTCCCACAAGGAAAAATAAAATGAAAAATATTCTAGTAGTTTTTAACAAAAGATATTCTATCGTTTGACTTTGAAACATTATTTCAAATAGAAAAGCTAAATTTCAATTGCAGTTTTTTTCATGGCAAAATTACATTAACTAGTCACCATGCAATATGTTAGACCTTTAGGACTTCATCTTATGACTGAAAGATTGCACCCTCTGACCAATATCACTCTTTCCCCCACTCCATATCCAGCCCCAAGTAACTACTATTCTATTATTACCATAAGTTCAACTTTTTTAGATTCTACATATAAATGAGCTCACGCAGTATTTCTATTTCTGTGCCTGGCTCTTTGTATTTGGCATTACATCCTTCAGTTTCATCCATGCTGTCACGAGTAGCAGAATTTTATTTGAGGCTGAATAATATTCCATTGTATATAATACATATGGAATCTTGACCGTCTGAGTTTTTTTCCCTAGCAGTGTTGTTGCAAATTCTGCAAGGTATATTTAAATATCTTTTGCATCTTTAATAGTTCCAGGTACAATGCATTAAAATTGAGCTTGCATGTTTGATAGCCATTGGTCTGTGGGTAATTATAAAAGTGCTGAAAATCAGTTTTTCAAGGAAACATAATATCAAGAACAAATATTTTTGGAAATACCACAGTCAGGAGGCTAGAACAGACTAAGAAAGAGTCATTGAAAAATGTAGATAAATGAAGTTGAGTCATCAAGCTTTCTGATCCTTCTGCTATAAATCTCTTCCTTGCTCTGTCTCCTTCCCCTACTTTTCCTGGCTAACTCTTCCTTCTTCAATTCTCAGTTAACATCTCACTTTCTTAGAGAAGACTTTTCCATTCACCCAGAATAGATTTCTAATCCCCTGTAATAAACTTTTTTTACACTCCATAGTTCCACTTCTGTGGCACTTATCACACTATTATTTTTTAATACAGTTGCCTGACAATGTTTCAAACAGACCAAATATACAGCCTAGTGGTCCTACCAGATTATAATGGAGCTGAAAAATTCCTACCATTTAGTGATGTCATAGCCGTTGTAATGTTGCAGCACAAAGATTACCTTTTCTGAGTTTAGATATGTTGAGAGACACAAATACTTACCACTGTGTTACAACTGCCTACAGTATTCAGCACAGTAGCATGCTATACAAGTTTCTTGCCTAGGAGCAATAGGCTATACCATATAGCTAGATGCATAGTAGGCTATACCATCTGGGTTTGTGTAAGCCCGATCGGAAATTCGCACAAAGATGAAATCACCTAATTATGCATTTCTCAGAATGTATGACCACTGGTAAGAGGCACATTAGCATGATGCTGTCTTCCCAGCATACTCTTCTTCACCTATTTTTCCTGGCTAACTCTTCCTTATCCTTCAACTCTGAGTTAAAATCTCACTTTTAGAGAAGACTTTTCCGGTCTTTTAGAATAGATTTCTAATCCCCTGTAATAAACCTTTTTTGCACTCCATAGTTCCACTTCTGTGGCACTTACCACACTATTATTTTTTCATATAGTTGCCTAGCAATGTTTCCAACAACAGACCAAATATACAGCCTGGTGGTCCTACTGGTCCTAAATGGGGCACATTAACTGTATTTGCATTCACCTCACAAAGGAAGCTCCAGGGAACACATCTTTCTTATTCTCTGGTATATCTGTGATCCTAACCCATCCTTCGCACATAGACAACACCTATAAATACTGTATTTATTGATTGAAAATACATTGTGAAAGAAACCAAGAAAAAGGAAAACGTAGAAAAACAGGAAATTCATAAAAGTTTTTGCATTATTTATCGTACAGTCAATAAATTTTTACAGCCTATCATATTCCTGATACCATGCTATATGGAAATGGGAAGGAAAAAAGCTACTGACCCCTGGGAATGGTGCTCTTCTAATGGAGAGACAGTCATTTCAACAAATTATTTCTAGATGAACATATAGTTATATGAAAGTGTTACCAAATATTACAGTGAAGTCAAAAGGAATCAGGCATACATGCTAAGCAATGAATTAGTAAATTAAAGGTTTATAGTGTCTTTTTAATTATTTGATATGTTAATTTAAGACTTGTCTTTTTCAGAAAAGTATATACTTAATTCTTGTGCTAAGTCACACAGATAAGAAAGATTATAAACCAAAATATATTTTATTTAAAATATATATTCAAATGATTCAAAATACTTTAATTCTTAATGTATCAATTATGCAATGATATTCTGTTTCTTCTAGATTGTACTAAATATCGAAAATAACTCTAAGTGTAGGATAAAAAGAAAATGCTATGTAAAAATATTTTACCAGAAAAAAGATAATATTGCATTGTTCTTTGCTATTTATATGTGTATTCCACCTACTCTAGTGAATAAAGAAGAGGCTGTTAACAGTTCAGTAAAAGATACAATACTAGTGGATCTTGAACCCCAATTTAATTAGGGTTGGCCAGGATTTATTATGAGCGTAGAGAGACCGTCAAGAAGTTTTAAGAAGTGATACTCAGTAGAGATTACCTACGCAGTGTGCATATATATTTATAACTCCACTGGGATCTTTTAATTCAACAAATAACCTTATTTCTCTGTTGCCCAAATAACTTTCTTTTGTAAAAAAAAATAAACTTCCTTGAACAATAGGAACACTTCCTTTTAAGTATAGGAACTGGCTTTCAGGTGGATCAAAAGAGGCTACAAATCAAGTGATTCTTACAATATATTTGAAATCTATGACTAGCAATATGGTGGATTGAAAAGCTCACCCTGCTGAAATGGTTATGCCATTTTGGCACTTAATCTTGAAGGTACATGTTCTGGACTGTTGAGGCTCCACTAACTTGTGAAATTGTGATTTTTTTCCTTTTGGGGACAATGCCACTGGGCCTTAACTCATAGCAAAATAGAGTGACTAAATTATATTCTAGGAGTACAGCTGCTCACTCAGTTAAGAAACATGCTTTTCTTAGTTATGCACAGCCAGGTCCCTGGAACAAAGTGTTGAGCACTGGTGGAATAGCATAACTTACGCTTACAAATGGCCATGCAAAACAACAGAACAGGTTTACTGACATTATATTATAGATGCCAGTTTATTCCATTTAGTGAGACTGTTGGACTTTAAATGCCATCTCTTTTGTTGGTACCACTTTGCACCCTTTCTCTAGAGAAAATTAACATGATTCAACAGGCTACAAGAGTTTACTGTGAGTATGGGAGAGTTCCAGGAAGTTTAGATGCAATTAATTAAATAGATACTCAGCTTTATAATTCTAATAGAATCTATTGTCATGTCAAAAGTGTCTTTCAATATTTTGTTGAAAATCTGGAACATTATGTCCTTGAGTGTTCACTACAGTCCCTGAAAAGAGCTAAGGGAATTCATTTCTATTTTGTTTTTTTAATCTTTGTTTGAACTTTTAACTAACCTATTTTTTTTTCCCACCCTACTCTTTTGCTGTTGCTGCTGTAGTGAGTATTTATATAGCTGTTCTCATCCCTGAGCTGCTGAATAAGGTCCTGATTATTTCAAACAACTTTTGTAATTAGCTTTCAAGAAGCAAATTGCCATGTTACATACAGTATCTGTGATTACAATAAACTGTTCTTTTTAATAACATTTCAATGTGGGCTTTAATTGGCAAGCCCCAGCAGCTTGGTGAGCATTCTACAAACTCACTCAATATGTTGAAATAAAAAAAAAAAAAACAATGTTTGACAATCAATAGAACAAGTACAGTCCTTTAGCTCAGTTTGGTTTTAAAAGGATCTATTAAATCAAAAAAACCCTAAAATACAGTGTTATAGTTCTCCCTGGGGGTACTCCTGTGGCTCAGAAGCAGTGATAACTTAGCAAGATCGGTAGTTCAGGCAGATAAATCTTACAACTTCTACCATGCTTTGATATTTCTTGATTTAGGCACTTGCTCAACAAGAATTTAAGCAAACACATAGTATCTCTTAGAAATATTGCCAAGCATCTGCCAGGGAAATGTTCCCCAAACCATCTGTCAAATTTGGCCATACAAGATGCTGCTGGGAAATGTGAGGCTAATCAAGAATACACTCCCCTGCCGGGAAGGGATGGACTATGCTGGGGACAGAGACCACAACTGTTGTTTTCCCTTTTCAAAAGGGAAATATTTTTTGCAGTCATCCTGTCTTCCGTATACCTTACTTCCTGGGTGTCTTTGGGTGGTTAAATGTGTAAGTTAGGCATAAGTTGCTACATGATTAAGATATATATCTCCACATAACAAGATTATACCATTCAGAAATCCAGAGCCTAGAAATGGATGAGACTTTGATATTTGTTTATGAGAAGGTGAGTGCATATCTGAGGTTACATACAATAGCTGCTTTATGCTAATGGAACATGTTTGAGATTGTAAGTGTATGTGTACACATATGTGGGCATCCAAGAGGTGAAACCTAGTAGACATCCATTGTTTCTTCCTGTTCTGAATTCCTCCTCTATTCTGGTGTAAAACCCCCCTTTTCTTTTGTCTCTCCCTTGTCTGACAGTATTGACAATTACAAATTCCATATACGACACAGGAGTAGATGTGACTGGTCAAAAGGATTCTCCAGACCCTTGTCCAGAAATGGGCACTGGACTCAAGCAGGCCCATTCTTTGCAAGGAATGATCTGCATACTAGAAGACCATAGATGGGATAGTGCTGGAGTGTTGGGAACCCAAGCAGAGTCTCCCACAGATGAGCTTGACATGAAAAAAGTAAGTCTGCTGACAGCCTCTTACAGTAATGATGAGTTATCACATTACCTAAGCAGGAAGCAGAGCAAGGAA
This sequence comes from Homo sapiens, assembly GCF_000001405.40. NCBI lineage: Eukaryota > Metazoa > Chordata > Mammalia > Primates > Hominidae > Homo > Homo sapiens. Next base: position 144,892,153 of record NC_000007.14, on the reverse strand, counting down.
GGCTCATTTCATATGGAGCCATATACAGTGAAGGAGCAACACCAAACAATGGCAGCTGGAAAGTCAGGAGAATTGTGAAAACGACTAAGAAACCCTACAAGTGTGAGGACATCTACAAGTTTCTGCAGCTCCTATACAACTCTGAAATGAGATTGAGTATCCCCAAAATAGACATTGTTGAACTTGTATCTTTGAATATACCCAAAGTCAGTATTGTGATACAAATAGCTTATTTTGGAAGTGATTCCAGGAAGCAACATGAGGAAGTTTGTAGTCAGAAAGAAAAGCCAGCAGAAGCACTGGAGAGTAAAGAACAAGTTACTGTTGTGGGCAAATGGGGTCCAGTCTTACTGGTGACCCTCTGAGAGACCATGTAGAACTCAGTGGAGGGCAAAGAATCTGCAGTTTATCCATCAACCCTTCTCTCTTTGTAATTGAGAGTCACTGCTGAGCATAACTTCTACCACGCAGTCAACTTGCCCCCAAGGTTATCCGCACTGCAGAGAATGCGCTCAGAGAAACACAGGAAGCTGAAATCCTCTGTGAGAAACTTCCAGGGTGGACACAGAGGATTTGTACAGGACACCAAAAGATGCTACCGCAATTTATCAGCAATCTTGGTGAGTGGAGTCCTAATTGTTATATTTGATTTTTAAAAATAAGATTCTAAACAAAATGACAAAATAAGCTAATTCATGGAAAGCACTTCTTTCTATTCCAAACACAAATAAATGAAAAGTTAAAGTATTTAGTCTAAAAATAGTTTATTAAAGCCCATATCAAAAGCAAGAAATCTCCAGGTGACATAAATAACAGGAACAACTGCAACAGTGATTTGAAGCTCCATGTTCCATGGGAATAACCAAATATATCACCCTGGGCTAAGTGTGTAATACTTGAGGGAGGGCTGCTGTTTTGAAAATAAATCAAACAGATTCTAGAAGTGAAAAATGAAATATGCAATAAAAAAAATCAAGTAGTCTGAGGCAATGCATAACTGATACGAATACACAAAGACAACATTTTAATACAATTGTAGGACTGGAACCATACCTTTAAAATTCTGAGGGGAAAATTATAAAACAAAAATTGATTGCATATTTGGCTAAATTGTCCATCAATATGATGGCAGAACACAGATAAGTTTAGATATACAATAACCTTAATATTTACTTCTCAGACATCTATTCCTAGAAAGATGCTCAGAAGTGCATTCCAGCAAAACAAAGGCGAAAACAAAGAGGAGACAAAGTGTCCCAAGTACAGCAGCTCCAACCCAAGAGTTTAGTTAAAGAAAGGCCTGGCATAATAGCTCTGCTGCAGACTTAGGGAACAACCAGTTTGTGCTGGACCAAGAGACAGAGGACTCCAACACGAATAGAAAAGGGGAAATAACATTCCATTGACAGTATTGGAAGGAGAGGGCATTCCAGACAGAATGTATGAAAAATCAGAGGCATGAAACCACATTGCACGTTCAGGGAACTTTCAATATTTCAGAAGCCAGACATACCATGAGATGAGTCTGGAGAAATGAGTAGAGCAAGATCACTAGGGTGGTGTGTGGCAGGCACACTAGATTTGCTGTTATCCCAGCTCTCATTCCTACTGCTCACTCAAGAATATAAGAACCAGGCCCCATCAGTATCCTTCACACCCTTTCAATCTCTTTGATTTAACACCATCCCATATTCTAACAGTCAAAACCAACTGTGGCAAAGTTTGAAATACGCAAGTGTCCCCTTCAATGACATTTTTTATAACCTTTGCTTCAATGGCTGGATCTACTCTCTAGAGCTTTGGATTTCTGTTTCAATCTCTCTATTGAAAAGCTTCTAAAATTAATCATTTATTACTTGAGTATCATAAATGAACATGCTATTATCATTTTAAGCCTTTTTTATAAAAAATTGTAACATGAAAAGCTTTGCTTACTATTTGGAAGTTTTCTAGCGTCAGCAATCAGCTAACAGTAATTCACCAAGGAAATTTTTCTGAACTCATATAATATTATCATCATTTAAAAATAGATAAACCAGGTGGAAAGTCCTTTGGGTTTAGAAAAAAAAAGATACAGTAATATTATACTTTTAAATTTAGTTAACTTTTTAAAAACTATGTAATTATATAATTAAGGGAAATGGTAATTAGACTTTTTGGTTTACTTTTCCAAGCAGTTTTCATCCTTGTAATCTTTGGACTAAAGTTACATTATGATGAAACACTTTAATATCACTAACTGCTCACCTAAGGAATCTTAGTCTGCTCAGGCTGCCATCAAACTACCACAAACTATATGTCTTCAACAACTGAAATTTATTTTAGCACAGTTCTGGAGGCTGGAAGTCTGAGATCTAGGTGTCAGCATGGTTCATTTTCTGGTGAGGGCTCTCTTCCTGGATTGCATACAGCTGGCTTCTCAGTGTATTCTCATATGGTCAGACAGAAGGAGCTCTGGTTTCTCTACCACTTATTAGGGCACCAGTTGTATCAGATCAGGGCCCCATGCTTATGACCTCATTTAGATTTTACCACCTCCCCACAGGCCATATCTCCAAATACAATCACATGGGGGTGGGGTAGGGGTTCAACAGATGAATTAAGGGGAGAAGGACAAACATTCAGTCAGTAACATAAGGTAAGCCAGTATTATTATTTGTACTTTTCTTAAACTTAGCATTCACTACCCCATATACAGATAGAAATTTTTCTTCAGTTATATAAACAGTGTCTATTGTAACATTCTGATAGGAATCAAGTTAATAGATACTATAATGCTTATTTAGTAACATGGGATACACTATTATCTATCAGAACATACAAGACAACCTAGTATGTTAGGACAGTTCTAAAACTTTACTCTGCATTTAGCCCAAACCAGTTAATAGCTAAAAACAATCACCATATTAGCAGGTTTAGCCACATTAACCCTTTTACTATGTATAAATCATGACAAATGTTAACTTTACAAGCTTTATCCCCTTTAGAAGCCAAGGAAACATCGATTGCTGCAAAACAAATACTTCATTTCTGACACAATAAATATTAAAAATCACAGCACTTAAATGAAAAGCTTGTAGTACTGTAAATATAATATGTACATGAACATGTTCTGTATACTGGAAAGTGCTATACAAATGTAGTATAAATGCCATAAAGTGGCAACAGGAAAATCCGGGCAAAATCTCGATGGCTAAGAAACACAGTAACCTCATCACTTAGCACAAGCGGGTACAATTCAGTAAAATGAGATAATGTCAAGGGATTCTAAATCTCGTAACTTTGGGGACCTAGCTTGAATTTATGACCTAATCACTTGTGAGTCCCTTTCATGCTAATATATATTACGGTCTATAATATAACAAATATCTGTAGATACTGCCTTTGAAGAGTTGGTTCTCTCGACATGATTTTTTTCCACAGGATTTTTGGGTTCCCCATTACAGTCTTAAGTTCATTATTGGAGACTATACAGGGTGACAATATATTTTATCACCCAAACTAGGGCACTTGTAAGAATTGAAAGGAGGTGCTATCAGGCACAGAGACCATCCTGAGCAGCCCCAGACGTATGGTTACTTTAGCTATGGAGACAAACATTATTACTTCTACTTTATGAACTTTTGCAACTGTCCCTTGTATATTGAGGTCTGATTCTTTAGAAGTATGAACTAAAGTATGTTAATTATCTTCTATTTAGCTTTTTCAGATATCTCATAACCTTTTTAAATTGCATATTTTAGCAATCAGATATTTATTTCGATCCAGGTACACTATATTTTCCAATTATTTTCGGGATCAGGTGAAACAAGCAAAACATAAAGGATTGTATATGATACCAAAAGAGTCATTATTACAAATATTTAAGTTTATTCTATAATTTATCAATAAACATTTTAAGTGTTTATTGTACACATCACTACTAATTTATAGTGTATTATGGAAGACCAGAAAGGAAATATAAAACACAACTTGATAAGTACTATTCCAGAAGCATACAGAAATAATTGGTAAAGGGCAGGTGTAAGAAGAGTTCCTAAAGAAGGCAAGGTTTAAGCTGAGTCTCAAAGGATAAGTTCATTAATATGATCACATTTTAATTCTATATGGAAAATAATGAAAAAATTCAGAAGCATGGTATGTTCATGTTGGGAGATGTAAGGCTGCATCAGTATGACTGAGTGCAGTTTTTTTTTTTTTGAAACAGAGTTTTGCTCTGTAGCCCAGGCTGCAGTGCAATGGCGTGATCTCGGCTCACTGCAATCTCCGCCTCCCGGGTTCAAGCGATTCTCCTGCCTCCGCCTCCCAAGTAGCTGGGACTGCAGGCTAAAAATTATCCATTGCACCTGGCTAATATTTGTATTTTTAGTAGAGATGAGGTTTCACCGTGTTGTCTAGGCTTATCTCAAACTCCTGACCTCAAGCAATTCACCCGCCTCAGCCTCCCAAAGTGCTGGGATTACAGGCGTGAGCCACTGAGCCAGGCCCCTGAGTGCAGCTTTTGATGGAACTGAAAGGTAAGTTGAAACCCATTCATGAGAGACACTGGGCAAGGCTAATGATAGCGCACACTATGAAGGTTATGTTTTAAGGCAGTACACAAGGTAAGAATTGCACTTAGTTAAAATTGGCCTTGAAAGTCATTTATATTGCCTATGAAGTACAGTACTCATTTTTTTTTTTAATATTCTTTGGGATGTTCTTATGCACACTAAGTCTTGAGAACCACCAAGTTTCCTTTAAGAAGGAATCGACATCAGATAATCTGGTCATCCAACCCTTTCTACTTTTAAGATGACTACAAAAGCACTAATATGAATGAGATGGGTGGCATGGATAAATTCTCAGCTTGCCTGCAAGTGTTACCAAACTGTATTTTAAGATTAAATCTCTGCTGGGCACTGTGGCTCATGCCTGTAATCTCAGCACTTTGGGAGACTGAGGCTGGCCCATCACTTGAGGTCAGGAGTTCCAGACCAGCCTGGCCGACATGGCAAAACCTCATCTCTACTAAAAATACGAAAATTAGCTGGCTGTGGTGGTGGGTGTCTATAACCCCAGCTACGCAGGAGGCTGAGGGAGGAGAATTGCTTGAATCAAGAAGCACAGGGTGCAGTGAGCTGAGATTGCGCCGCCACACTCCAGCCTGGGCAATAGAGCAAGACTCCATCTCAAAAAAATTGAATTAAAAAAAGATAAATCTCTATAACCATAATTCAAACAATTAGATTATGTGGTATGACTTCACTGTCTTGATTAAAGTCATACAGGCATATTTTGTAGATATAGAATGTATTTTAGTAAACCAGCTGCAAATTCAGAATCTGTGAGAATTTATCATGAATTAAATATATCAAGAAGAAACCACTTATGTGGCACATTTATGTTTTAACCAAAAAGAATTGCCTACTAACAATAAACTTAAATTTTGAATACATTTTATTATCATGCAAATATAAAATTCTAATTAAAAATGGGCATTAAAGCCTCTACTAGAAGATACTGTTAGTTGGTTGCTGATATACTTAAGATGCATTTATTTAAAAAATTTCTATAATGCAGTTCTTCACTAATTCAAACTGACGCTTTCTCTCAAACTGCCCCTCCCAAACCTGTGATGCTAATTCAGATAGATGATATTTTATTGGTAAAGCATTCTCCATTTCCAATTAAGAATTATATTAGACAAATCAAATTCAAAGTAAAGCAGAGGCTGCAAAACCAAGTTGAGATTGCTGATAACATATGAACGCAAATAAATAGATCATCATGCCCTGGTTTTTTAAAAGGATTCATTTTGAATGATAAATCACTCATATTACAAGTATTACAAAGGTGGGTTGCAATCTACCAAAAGTTGTTTTGTTTTTTTCAAATAACAAAATATGTAAGCTGCTAAACACAGAATATAAAATAGACGTAGACACTTTCAAATGAGGAACATAGAAATAAGATATTTGAATAAATTATTCTATGTTATTTATCTTTATCTTGGTGCTTCTAAATTAATTGTACTGAGCTAATGGAAATATGAAATTGACATTATAAAAAGAACTTGAGATCCAGAGTGAGTAAATACTGAGTTCTTACCATTTAATGTGCAGAGGAAGTATCTTAATAAGTGCATACAAAACAATAATTTGAGATATTTTTAAAAAGAAGCATTCTAGTATATTGTACTAGAAGTGTCAATTTTTTTTATTTGGTATTTCTATATACCCCACCTTCCTCTAGAAAATGGCTTAACATTACCAATTTCTGAGAGTACTTTAAAGTACGTACAAAAAAATACTATCAATCAGTATACGCCATATGCATTTCATAAGCATGGTACAAACCAAAACACCATTGGATTCTGAGGAGAACAAACCACTTCTGTCTTTGGTGATAAGAGAAGTCTTTGAGGATTCAGTGCTATTTGAATCTGACTTTGAAGGATAAATAGGATTTCAGTAAAGAGAGAAGCAGAGATAGCATATTTCGGATTCCAGAAATAGCTTGCTTAAAGGAATCAAGGCAGGCAAGCCCAAGATGCATTTGAGCAGAGTGAATATGCCTACCTTTTGTTGATGGTGGTCGATTAATTTGTTGGTTGGTTGGGGGAGAAGGGAGAGATGATTCATTCATTTTTTTTTTCCCCCAAGTACCGAGTTCCTGCGGGGGAAAGAGATGAGACCAGAAGTAGTGCAGCGAAGGTGGGTTTAAAAACCAGAGAGAATTGGAATCGACACCAGAGTAAATTATTTACCCCTTCAGAACCTCTCCTTTTCCTTCTAAAACGAGGTTTATAATTGGCTGCTACAAACTTAAACAAGACAGCATATGTAGACCATCTAGGCCACAGTACTGATTTGATTTTTACTATTAGAAAGAAACAGGATAATGAAAGGCTTTTAATGTTAATTTTTAAAAATAATCATTTCATTGAATCTTTTACTATGTGCCAAGCCCTGTCTTAAGCATTTAACACGTGTTAATTTACAAGAGATTAAGGGAGTAAATTCCCCCAGGTCACAAAACTAGAGCTAGGATTTGGACACCAGAGCTAGCTCTAGTGCAGTTGCTAACGCAAAGGTTCAGGAGTTAGGATACTGGGTGTGATTGAGTGCTGGCTTAGCCACTGTCTGGCTGTGTGACATTGTGAAGTAATAACCATTTCTTTGCCTCAAGTTTTTCTTCATGTGTAAAATAGACTTAAGCCCTCTTAGGGACATCTGTGATCCAAAAGAACTTTATTTATAAAAACAGGCAGTGGGCCAGACTTGCCTCCACCCACCCCATCAGAGTTTGCTGACCCCTGTTCTAGGCAATTACTAGCTGGGTGATATTTGGAAAATTATTTAACTTTTCTACCCTCACTTTCCCCTTCTGTTATAACAGGCCAACAGCAAAGCATTATTGTGGGGATAAAATTAAATGATGTGTACAGAAATGCTTTGTAAATTCAAACTACTGTAAACTTTCGATTTCATAGTATAAAGTCTACAAAATATAAATTGCTCTGATGAAAGATAATGTCCATTTCTATGGAAGAGCTGTTCATCCCAGGGACCCTAGTATCTCAGACTCTCAAATTTCAATCATGTTTGAAATATATCCTTTCTGAACTTCACAGGGATCCAAGACTAGTCTCAACAGCTTCCAAGAGTTTTTGTTTATTTTTGACCTCTCACATCAAGCCTGTTCTTCTCCATTTGTGTCCTTGTGGATATTGTATTCTGGAACTAATAAAGGCTGAGGCTGTTCACACAGAGTTAGTGATAGGTGCTGAAAAGACATCAAGAACAGGAAACATTTGCCCATTACATTAGGTGATATACTGACTTGGTTCATTCTTTCAACAAATGTTCATTGAGCATCCATTAAAACTCAAGCACAGCAATGTACTGGAGATATAAAGATGAATAAGACACAGTCCCTGGTCCATGTAAACAGATCACTTATAATAAACTGAACTGTTTTAGAAGACGAAACTCTTCTACCTTGAATGGTTCAGTAAAAAAAGCAACCTTTGAGCTGGACACTTAAAGATTTTGCCAAGTGAAAAACTAACGTGTGTGCAAAGGCAGAGTCATTGAAAGGACATCATGGTAGGGCCATGTTTCAGAAGCTGCACTATTGTGGGGCATCTTCAGAACTTTATCATACCCACATACCATCTTCCATTATTTCTTTTGCAATTTTAAGTCAACTCACATTTTTAAACTTAAGTAAATCTGTTACAAAAAAATTGTTGTACTAGTTACAAATTTGATACAAAAATTAAAATTCATAATTATATAAATAAAATAATGATGAATTAAAATGTTAATTCTTATACCATTAAAAATTGTTTCTTTGATGACCAGTGATGTGCATTTCACACTTCAGTTAACAGTATTTGGAGGAGTGGTGACTTCAAGTAGAAATTTTAAACTACGTACTAGAATTACAGAATGTTTAGTCTAGAAGGAATCGTAGAAGCCATGTAATCTAATTGCCATCATTTTACTGAGGTCCAGGAAGAAAGTATTTTGCCCAAGATGGTACAGCTTAATCTGGAATTGATTCTAATGTTCTTTGGATTTAACTTTCAACAGTTAATAACTCTGATAAATTTATAGATCACCAATTTCCGCCTGAGTCATTTAGAAACGTGCTTCAAAAAAATTGATTCAATATGCCCTGTTCTTTGGTAATGATATTAAAACTTTAAAAAACACTTATGAAATTTCTATTTCACTTGATACCACCATTAGCCCACTACCCAAAATTGAAAGAGTTAGCTGGGTGTGATGGCTCACACCTGTAATCTCGGCAGCTCAGGAGGCTGAGGCAAGAGGATCACTTGAGACCAGAAATTCAAGACCTGCCTGGGCAATGCAGTAAGACTGTCTCTAAACACTTAAAATTTAAAGAGAGTGAATAATCGTACTTCTAAATAAATATGATAGATACGATATGTGTTTATTTCTGCTATGTCATGAAAATGCCACTAAAAGACAGTAAGGATTAAAGAAACAAAAAGTATAAAGTATATATAGCTCTACCCCTACACCCCCCCAAAAAAAATTATGAGAGACAACAGTAGATAGAAAGTAGCAATGAAAATTTAGAAAAAAGAAAATAAGAGAATAAGCAGATACTTATTAGCTGAGTAAAGATAAAGTAGCTAAAATGAAAGTGCTAGCAAGCCAGGCTGTAGGGAACCCAAAAGCAGAAATAGGAGGCTCCCAGCACAACTGAATTGAGGGGTAGAATTCAAAGTGGAGGTAAAATTAGAAGAATCAGTTGAGAGTCTGGACAAGGAGCAATTAGGCCTTGCTAACCCCTACCCAACCTACACAGACAGATGACTGGCCCTACTTGAATGATTAAATTGGCAAGTCCCTGGACTTGAGACCCCAGGCATAGCTAAGGGCTATGTTCAAACAAGCAAGTTAAATGAAAGTGAGTTTAGCAGCCCAGTGACCTTCCCCTTAACTTCACTCTGCTCCCATTACAGAGTATCAGGCCGTAATGTAATTTCTTTCTGATGAAAGTAACCAGGCCAAAAAAAAGGATCTACAATTACTGACACTTGAATATCCCTTAACCAAATGGCCAATTCCTCAAATCAGTTGCCCTACTAAAAGGCTGACCGGCCTACTAGCCAAAATGCCTTCTACCCATAGACTGTTTTTCATAACTCCACTTTAAATGTACATGGACAATGGATCACTAGATATTTTAAGGACAGCATTAGCATAAAGGATGGTGACAAAAATAAACAGAAAAAGTAATTTGGAGTTTAGAGGTACAGGGACTAGAAAAACAAGTAAAACTAATGTTTAAAAGAAGATAATTGCATTCATTAAACAATAATAGATTGCTAGAAAAAAATGAATAACATTTAAACACCAGGAATAAGTTCTAGGAAATTATAAAATAGAGTAGGGAAAATATTCTTAGACATTTAATGGAATTGAAAAGAGAAAATAAAATAGAAAGACAAAGTAATAGGAAATAGGAGGAGAGAAAAGATTTTTTAAAGTGGATCTCCTGGTAGGACTTGAATAGAGTCGATCTATTTTAATCATAATAAGAAAACAGGCCAGGCACGATGGCTCACGCCTGTAATCCCAGCACTCTGGGAGGCCAAGGCGGGCGGATCACCTGAGATTGGGAGTTCGAGACCAGACTGACCAACATGGAGAAACCTGTCTACTAAAAATACAAAAATTAGCTGGGGGTAGTGGCATATGCCTGTAATCCCAGCTGCTTGGGAGGCTGAGGCAGAATTGCTTGAAGCCAGGAGGTGGAGGTTGGTGGTGAGCCGATATCGCACCATTGCACTCTAGCCTGGGCGACAAGAGCAAAACCCCGTCTAAAAAACAAACAAACAAACAAACAAACCGGCCAGGAAATTTTCCCAAGTACCTCCTTGGGTATCTTCTATTCACATTCTATATGCCCCCCTAGACTTGCTCCAAATTGAGTTATCAAATATTTTTATCAGGAAGATAATATTTTAAATGTTTAAAATTATTCATGTACAACTTAACCTTAGAACACACAGTCTCAGTCTCCCTCTCCAAAATATATATATAATCACCACTATCACATTCCTATTATAAACCTCAGCCAATTTGTTTCATTACCTTTGGGAGAAACCTCCTATGCTGCTCATTTGGAACTCTCACTTCTAGATCTCACTTCCAGATACCTGCTTCAGTGACCTGGGGCGATGGGGTGACAGAGGGGAGAGGCAGAATGGGGTTGAAGAATAGAGATGGGGTGGGGGGTAAAAGTATACATAAGATTTTCCTAAGCCGGGCGTGGTGGCTCATGCCTGTAATCCTAGCACTTTGGGAGGCCAAGGCAGGTGGATCACAAGGTCAGGAGTTTGAGACCAGCCTGACCAATATGGTGAAACCCCATCTCCACGAAAAATACAAAAATTAGCTGGGCGTGGTGGCACATGCCTGTAATCCCACCTACTCAGGAGGCTAAGGCAGGAGAATCACTTGAACCTGGGAGGTGGAGGTTGCAGTGAGCCGAGATTGCACCACTGCACTCCAGCCTGGGTGACAAAGCAAGACTCCATCTCAAAAAAAAAAAAAAAAAAAAAAAAAAAAAAAAGATTTTCCTGAGCAACATAAGCAAAGTCCCGTAAGGTGATGTGTAGTGTAGTAGTTTCTGCAGTGATTCCTAATGCCATGGCTACCCACATATGAGAAGGGATTTGACCACTGTCAAACAAAATCAGAGCCAGGACAGTAGCTAGATCAGTAAAAACTGATTTGACCCAGTATCTGCTGCAATAGGAAAAAAGAGACCTCAGTATAGAATTGGGCTAAATTCCAAATACAGCATGGACAAGTGGTATTACAGCCAAAGAACAGGTTGGGATTGGAGGGGGTGCATGTCAGCAGATGGAAAATTACTAAGAGTAAACATCGGGGTACCGGGATTCTTGCCAAAGGCAGCCCAGGATCATCAGATAACACCTGGAGGATAGTGGGTGATAAGGATATTTGATCAGATATCAAGTGATCAGATAATGAGGGTGAGAAATTCTGGTGAATCCTGAGCAGGATTCTTGCTAACATTGGCTTCTACAGGGACAGAGATGGAACCCCGAGGTCAGGCCTTATCAAGCAGAGAGCTCAGAGGATCTTCACTAAAGGAGAGAACCTTCATCATCACTTTAGAACAAAATTGGCATTTACCACACTTATTGTAGTTCTTCCCACAACACTTTGTCAACTGATACAAGCAAGTGGCCCTCTAGCCAGTGAAAACCAATGCTCAGAAGCAAACTTCCCAGGCTAACTGTCCACAACCCCCCTATACTCACTGTGGCAGCTGAAAGAAATACTCAGAAGCAAGCCTCCCAGGCTAACACTCCACAACCCCTGTATTCACTGTGGCAGGCTTTTGTAAGTTTTCCACCTCAACCCAGAAGCTGAGATGTACATGTGTATTCAGAAGTAATATCATATAGAACTTAAGAGCTCAGACTTCAGGAGCCAGAGGGTATGGGATCAGATTTTGACTGTGGCACCTGCTAACCATGTAATCTTGATAAAGTTACATAATCTCTGTTTAACTCAGTTTTGTCATTTGTAAAATAGGGATAATAACTGTACCCAACCCTCATTGAGTTGTGGAGAGCAACACAACTCCACAACTGTGAAAAGCTTGGAACAGTGGTTGCTATATAGTAAAGCCTATATTGTTTTCAGCCATCACTATTCACCATTTCTTGATGTTAATTATTCTTCCAGGGAATATAGAATTTGTTCATCCATCACTCCCATTCTCTGTCCTAAGATTTCCCCACTTATCTTCCCCTTTGAACCTAAACCAGTTGCTACTTGCTTTTTCTCAACATAGTCCTTTCCTGTTTCCCTAGATCAAGCCAAGACAGTATTGTCAAATAACAAAAATCCCACATAATCTTAAAAAGAGGGTGGGCAAAACAATCTCTCACTGAGGCAAGCCAGTTGTCCTAGATCCTTGGAAAACCGGAAATTTTATTTTTAATGGGTACTATATTTTAATTATTATTTTTAAAAATACAAAGAGGTGATTTAAAAAACAAATCCTACTCAAGGGTTTTTGTTTTCTTTTGTTTTTGAGACGGGGTCTTACTCTGTCACCCAGGATAGAGTGCAGTGGCAAGACCATCGCTCACTGCAGCCTCAACTCCCCGTGCTCAAGCAATACCCCCACCTCAACCTCCCAAGTAATTGAGACTACAGGTGCATGCCACCATGCAGGACTAATTTTTTATTTTTTGTAGAAACAGAGTCTCACACCATGTTGCCCAGGCTCGTCTTGAACTCCTGGATGCAAACAATCTTTCCACCTTGGCCTCCCAAAATGCCAGGATTACAGGTGTGAGCCATCTCACGAAGTCAAAGGTTTTTTGTTTTTCTTGTTTATTTTGAGACAGAGTCTTGCTCTATTGCCCAGGCTGGAGTGCGGTGGTGCAGTCTCAGCTCTCTGCAACCTCTGCCTCCCAGGTTTAAGCGATTCACCTGCCTCAACCTCCTGAATAGCTGGGATTACAGGCACCCACCACCACGCCCAGCTAATTTTTGTATTTTTAATAGAGACAGGGTTTCACCATGTTGGCCAGGCTGGTCTGGTCTTGAACTCCTGACCTCATGATCCACCCACCTCAGCCTCCCAAAGTGCCTGGCCCAAGTCAAAGGGTTTTTAGCCAGGCACAGTGGCTCACGTCTGTAATCCCAGCACTTTGGGAGGCTGAGGTGGGCAGATCACCTGAGTTCAGGAGCTGGAGACCAGCCTGACCAACATGTAGAAACCCCACCTCTACTAAAAATACACAATTAGCCGGGCATGGTGGCACACGCCTATAATCCCAGCTACTTGGGAGGCTGAGGCAGTAAAGTTGCTTAAACCCAGGAGGCAAAGATTGAGGTGAGCTGAGATCGCACCATTGCACTCCAGCCTGGGTAATGAGGGCAAAACTCCGTCGGGGAGGGGTGTGTGTGTTGGGGGGAGTTTTTAAATGAAAAACAGGTTCCTTGTCCCTGTGATACGATAGAATGAGAAATACATATATTTGCTTTTCTCTTCCTGGCATAGGGCTCCTAAAACCCTTGGAATTTCCCAAGTAACAGAGATGAGAGCAGTATCTTTTTTAAAATTCATAATGAGCCCCTTTCCACCGCATCTGTTTATGCTAATGAGGTAACTTTGATGATGGGCTCTGGATGCCAGAGAACCAACCATGTCATCAGAGGGTTGGGACTTTCAGCCCCTCGACCTCTGGGAAGTAAAGAGGGGTTAGAGATTAAGTTCAATCACCAATGGTCAATAATTTAATCAGTCATGCCTACATAACAGAACTTCCATAAAAACCCCAAATGGGGTTCAGAGAGCTTCTGGGTTGAACACATGCAGATGCTGGGAGGGTGGTGCACCCCAGAGAGAGCATGGAACCTCCACGCCCCTTCCCTACATTTTGCCCTGTGCATCTCTTCCATTTGGCTGTTCCTGACTTGTAACTTTTACAATAAACCATAAACATACGTAATGTGCCTTCCTGAGTTCTGCAAGCTGTTCTGGCAAATTATCAAACCCAAGAAGGAGGTGTGGAAATCCCTGAATTACAGTCGGTTGGTCAGAAGTACAGGTCACAACCTGGGACTCTCGATCGGCATCTGAAGCGGAGAGAGGAGGGCAGTCCTGTGGGACTGAGCCTTTAGCTTGTCGGGTCTGTGCTAACTCAGGGCAGTTAGTGTCAGAATTGTAGGACACCCAGTCGGTGTCTGATAAGAATTGAAGAATTGGTTGATGTGGGAAAAGCCTTCACACATTTGATGTCAGAAATATTGTGAATGTATTTTTAAAGGGTTTTCCATGTTAGCCCCCACCTGCAAATCCTCCCTTTTTCTTGAAAAGCAATTTTTAACCCTTTGATGTTTTTCTTTCTTTTTGCAGTTATCTCCCTACTCTACGTAGGTTTATATTAATATTTTTTATCTTTTTCCATTTTATACATTATTTGATTTTCTGCTATGATAGATGAGGCTGTAATTCCTGTACACTATTTCTCCTGATCCACCTAACACAGTAATATGATTCTTTAGGTTAAATCAATAAAGCATAGTTATATTACTATAAATATGTACTATTGTTTACTACAGAGTAGGGTACTGTGATTAGTTTTCCATTTTTTGTATAACCATTTGTCCCTCCTAGAATTTAAAGTTGATTGTTTATCTTTGCTCCTACTATTTGTCCTTTGCTCCTACTATTTGTCTTTCTCATATTCTAAAAATCAAGTTCTTGGTCATAGCACATATTCTACCAAGTATCACTGATTCGCTCAGTAGTTTCTATTTTAGTTCCAACATTCTGTCATGTCTTCATCTCCTTCAATTTCTGGATTGTTCTAGGTCATGTTGGGGCTCAGAAACGAATATGCCAAATATGGCACTTTGACATGCTGAATTCAAAAAGGAGCCACAAGGTCTCTCTGACATTCTCCCCACCCCACCCGGGTCTCTCGGTTCTCTATGTCTCCCAAAACACAGAATGAAGTTGTTCTCTGAGGTTTCTTATCTGCCTAAAGTCCAGACCTGCCAAAGAAGAAAACAATGACCTCTGGTCCCTTCCCTAACTTTTCATTAACTGTAGTCAGTATCACAGGAAGAAAGATGGAAGTCTATCTACTCGCTTGGACAGACTTTTTTCACAGACCATTGTCTGCTCTGCAGGCCCAACAGACTTGTTGCAGGCCATTGTATATTCTTCAAGCCCACTGAATTCCCCTAAAAATCATTACTTTCCCCCTAAAAATCATCCATACTTCCCCAATCCCCTAAGACATAGGGTATATAAGCATCTGTAACCGCCCCCTGCCTCCTTGTTTTTTTGAGAGCAAGTCTTTCTCTGTCATCCAGGCTGGAGTGCAGTGGCACAATTTCGGCTCACTACAACCTCTGCCTCCCAGGCTCAAGCGATCCTCCCACATCAGCCCTGACCAAGTAGCTAGGACTACAGGCATACACCACCATGCCCGGCTAATTTGTGTATTTTTTGTAGAGATGGGGTTTTGTCATGTTGCCTAGGCTGGTCCTGAACTCCTAGGCTCAAGTGATCTGCCTGCATCGACCTCCCAAAGTGCTGGGATTACAGGTGTGAGCCACCATGCCGGGTTTCCCATTGTGATACTGGGCAGTCACTCCCCTGGACCTGCTAATCAATTTGTATGCCCTTTCTCCAACTAATCTTCCTTTTGAGAGTTGATTTTTCTGGGAACCTTCAGAGGGTGAAAGGGAAGTTTTCCTTGGCCCCTACAGTAGGGCAAGTTGCTCTTATTTTTGTGATCCATCCTTTTTGGTTCTATCCACATGCCATCTTTGTCTTCTTCAGGGCACTCAGACCACCACGCTTTGACCATCTCTGATTTAGGATCATTTATTTCTTGTGGCTAAGGTTCACCATTGAGTAGTAGGAAGATGACTGGCTCAATGTCAGTCAGACTCAGATTTAAAACCTAAATCACCCACTTACCAAATATGTGACTTTATGCCATGTAATCACCCTGGTATCTCATGTGTGCCACTGTGCATTAGGAATATGTTAGAGACTTATTCAGAAAATATGCATTTCCAGCCATAAAAAGAAC
The DNA here is from genome assembly GCF_000001405.40 of Homo sapiens. NCBI lineage: Eukaryota > Metazoa > Chordata > Mammalia > Primates > Hominidae > Homo > Homo sapiens. The sequence continues at coordinate 144,876,024 of NC_000007.14, read as the reverse complement.
AAGATCATGTCCTTTCAGGGACATAGATGAACTGGAGGTCATTATCCTTGGCAAACTAATGCAGGAACAGAAAAACAAATATGGCGTGTTCTCTCTTACAAGTGGGAAGCTAAATGATAAGAACACATGGACGCAGAGGACAGCAACATACATTGGGGCTTATCTGACAGTGGAAGGTGGGAGAAGGAAGAGGATCAGAAAAAATTAGTAATGAATACTTGGCTTAATACCTGAGTGATAAAATAATCTGTATAACAAGCCCCCATGACACACATTTACCTGTGTAACAAACCTACACATCCTGCCCATGTGCCCCTGAACTTAAAAGTTAAACAAAAAGAAAATATGCATTTCCTTATTGAACATATATTATGTCCCTGGACACTATTCTAAGCTCTTGATAGGCATTTTCCAATTTAATCCACAACTGACCTAATGAAGTAGACCGTATTATAATCCCCACAACACTTGCGGAATCTGAGGCAGAAGGACATTAAATAATATACCTGAGGTCGGCAGCCTAGGGGTAGAGCCAGGAGTCACACTCAGACTCTCAAATATGCAGTGAGCCTCTGCTTGTGTGAATATACATCTCAACAAACTGTTCACCATGATAACAAACCATACGGCTTCTCCTATGCATTCCATGTCCCAGGATTTATCTGTAAAGGATGATCAGTCTAATGGAACATTTTGTTAAGAAACTGATCAACTGTAACTATTCTCCATGCAAGAGCCAGAAGCCAGAAAGCAGAGTAGCATAGAGTGAATGAGTATGTTCCACCAAGCAGATGTGGGCCCACATGCTGAGCTTTAATGAGCCTTCCCCACCATATTATTTCTTTCACCACCAGATGCATTATGCAAAAAGTTCATTTTACAGCTCTAGAAGCCCTGAATTGCAGTTTCCTACAGCAGTCCTTGGTTCATTATCAAGAAGCAAGCCCATTCTCCTTAACCTATTTCATTGGCTTGTTGAAAGGATTACATGAGAATGTGGTTCCCCAAATTACTGGTCATCTGAATCACCTGAGAAACATCCCAAGTGACTGAGTTGACAATTTTACACACACACACACACACACACACACACACACACACACACACACGGGGGGGGGGAGGGAGAGGGGAAGAGGGAGGGAGGAAAGGGGGAGAGAGAGAGAGAGAGAGGGAGGGAGGGAGGGAGAGGTGGGGGGTAGTAGGGGCAGTGCATCTAGAAATTCAGATTAAACAGGTCCAGGGAAGGGCAATATTGTGTATTTTTTAAAGCTCCTCAGGTGATTCTGATAATCAGCCATGTGCAGGAAATACTGTTCAAAGCACCTAGCTCAGTTACCACCTGGGAAATGTTCACTCTTCACCCGCTTTGCTTCCTTCCATGTGGGAAACTGCAGTCAGCTGGCATTACTATTCAATTTCTTTCATCTTAAGGACATCTGCCCAAATGTTAACCCATATATTCTCTATTTGGATTATCACTGAAATAAAACCACAGATTTATTTCTCTGCAGATATTTCATTAACCTACACTGTTTGCGTTTTAAATGGATTTTTCAGAACTTTTCCTTGCCAATTTTTCATATTAATTTCCATGGAAATATACTGAATTCTTATTTTCTCCCATTCACTTCGCCAAACCCTTGCCTCTGCTTCCTACACAACCCCTGCTTTCCGATTCCCTTTTGGGTCCCGGTTGCTTCTCTCTGCAACCTTGCAGAAGGGATCATCCACAGATGTGGCCATAGTGACATGTGTACTTCAGGGACGAGGAAAGTGCTAAAAAAAAAAAAAATAGTTTAAAGGTCACTTCGTTGTCTAATTCCCTGTTGCTTTCTTCTCCACACCAGTTGCTCCTGCTTTCTCAGCAGGGAATGAGCAAATTGAGGGAAATGGTGGGAAGGTTTTATGAGAACAGGAGAGAGGAAGGGACAAGGGCACAGGTAGAAAAGATACCATTATCTGAAGATTGATTCCTTGTACTTTTAGAGAAAGGACAGAAAAATAGATGAAGAGAGATATATATATTGACCTGGGTTAAGAGTAGCTAAGGGGCTGATACTAAACTGTCAGGAAGTACGAAATCTGTAACTTCAAAAATAGGATAGTTTGCTGCTCCAAAAATGATGTAAGATTAGGTGTTTGAAACAAAATTCCTCATTTGTAAAATAAGTTTGTGTATTGGTTCATTTTCACACTGCTATAAAGATACTACTAGAGACCGGGTAATTTATAAACTGAAGAGGTTTAATTGACTCACCTTTCCACATACGGCTCGGGTGGCCTCAGGAAACTTAAAATCACGGCAGAATAGGAAGCAGCCACTCCCCTCACAAGGTGGCAGGCCAGCGTGAGCAAGCGCAGGGAAACTGCCCTTTATAAAACCATCAGATCTCGTGAGACTTATTCAGTATCACGAGAACAGCATCGGGAAAACCACCCCACGATCCAATCACCTCCCACCAGGTCTCTCCCGCAACACGTGGGGATTACAATTCAAGATGAGATTTGGGTGGGGATACAAAGCCTAACCATATCAGCTGGGTTCTGGTAAACCTCACACTGATGGGATGTCAGTAAGACAATAAACTAGAGAGAGGCTTTTCCTGCTGGGTGGGTAAATATTTCTCCCCTCAAGGAGTGGAAGTGGGAGATGGCGTTCTGATTGACTTAAAAGTATATTGTTGCCAGGTGCAGTGGCTCATGCCTGTAATCCCAAAACTTTGGGAGGCCGAGGCGGACGGATCACTTGAGGCCAGGAGTTCGACACCAGCCTGTCTAACATGGCAAAACCCCATCTCTTCTAAAACATATAAAAATTATCCGGGTGTGATGGTGGGCGCCTGTAATCCCAGCTACTTGGGAGGCTGAGACACAGGAATCGCTTGAACCAGGGAGGCAGAGGTTGCAGTGAGCCAAGACCGCACCACTGCACTCCAGCTTGGATGACAGAGTGAGACTCCATATCAAAAAAAAAAAAAAAAAAAATCACATTGTTGATTCAATTGTATGATTATAATACTTTATGATGTTTATTAGTTCATATATATTTTAAGTCAAGTAAAAGTAATCAAGTGGATTGTTCTCCCTGAATATCCAATTTATAGAATCCTGAGTTTGTCAAGTTTAGTTACCAGATGCCTAGCACCTTATTTTCACCTGGAGGACATATCCACAGGACAGGAAACACTGGTGGTGGGTGGGGGGAGTGAGGATGTAGCAGGATGGAGCCAAGATGCATTACTTCTTTTTTTAAAATGCTACGGAACAAAAACCACAGCTAAACATAAATACCATAAGATTAAAAACATGTAGTGGAATGTTTTAATGTGGAATACCCAGCATGGAATACCTTCTGCCTTGCCTGGCAAACTTTTACTTTCTGTTTATGGCTAGAAGCTTCCTCCATAAGCAACTATTTCATGGCCCCTCCAGGCATCCTATCTATTTGTCTCTTTGCCACCACAACAATTTGAACTTACTGTTGAAAGTACCAAGTTCATCATGGTGTGATTTTAATAACTGAATACAGCAATCTCCCAATTATATTTTGAGCCTCTCCCAGGAAGAGTGTTCTATTAATCCTCTTAGTCTTTCTGGGTAGTGCAGTGACAGGGAAGGGAAGCTTACAGATGAGCGTGGTAAACACAATGAAAATGAACAGAAAATATTTTAGTAAGGTATAGGCAGGAGACCCTATCCAGTGCACCCCTCACTCAGGGAAAGACTAAAAATCTAACTCGAGGATTAACTAGGCTCAAAATCCAGTTGCAAGATAAAGATAGAGGAGACTTGTCGGGGCTCTCAGATTTTTGTCAATGTGTGAAATTTCCCCCGTACAGAGGTTAAGAGCACTGGCTTTAAAGTCAGGCAGCCTGGAATGTACTAATTATAAGGCTTAAGGCAAGTCGCTACCTCCTGAAGCTTAGCTCCTCATCTGTGAGATAGGGACAGTAATAGTTTCCACTTCAACAGATTGTTGTGAAAATTAAATAAGCAAATGAAATAAGTACCATCCTCAGCACTCAATAAATTACTTACTACCACTATTATTATTATTGTTATTATCTTCAAACCAGATTTGTAGAATGGGGTAAAACCGTGCCCTGAAATAATCAATCACTAGAAATATAAATAAACAATAACAATCACTAGCCATGCATTATGAATATCAGAAAATCTTGTAGAAAACTCAGAATCAGATGCAAAGCACTAAGGCAAGCTTGTCTGTGTGATTGTGAGATAGGCAGGGATGTCTGTGTGTGTGAATGTGTGTGCGTGTGTGCACATGTGTGTATACATGCGTGAGAGAGTGAGAATGTGATGGGGGAAAGCCACAAATAAATAATAGTTGCCACATTGCATTTCATTATGCACCTTATAAAATACAATCAATGGCTTTCCTGAATGTTATGGACTGAATTGTTTCACCCCAAAATTTATATGTGAAGCCCTAACCTTCAATGTTACTGAGTTTGGATACGGGGTCTTTAAGGAAGAGGTTAAGGTAAAATGAGGTCATAAGGCTGGGCCCCTAATTCAGTAGGACTGGAGTCTTTATAAAAAGAGAAAGAAGGCTGGGTGCAGTGGCTCATGCCTGTAATCCCAGAAATTTGGGAGGCCACAGCTGGCGGATCACCTGAGGTAGGGAGTTTGAGACCAGCCTGACCAACATGGAGAAACCCTATCTCTACTAAAAATATAAAATTAGCTGGGCATAGTGGCACACGCCTGTAATCCCAGCTACTCAGGAGGCTGAGGCAGGAGAATTGCTTGAACCTGGGAGACAGAGGCTGCAGTGAGCCGAGATCATGCCATTGCACTCCAGCCTGGGCAACAAGAGCAAAACTCTGTCTCAAAAAAAAAAAAAAAAGAAAAAGAAAGAAAAGAAAACAAAAAAAGAAAAGAAAAGAAAGAAGGCTGGGTGTGGTGGCCTGCAATCTCAGTGCTTTGGGAGGCTGAGGTGGGAGGATTGCTTGAGCCCAGAAGTTGGAGGCTGCATTGAGCTCTGATCGTGCGACTGCACTCCAGCCTGGGTAACAGAGTCAGACCCTGATTCAAAAAAAAAAAAAAAAAGAAGAAGAAAGAAAGAAGGAGAAGAGAAAGAAACACTGAGAGCATGGGAGGACACAGCCAAGAAGACAGCCATCTTCAATCCAAAGATAGAGGCTTCACCAGGATTCAACCCTGCCAGGCTCATACTCTTGAATGTCTAGCCTCTAAGAGCCATGAGAAAATAAATATCTGGCTGGGCACAGTGGCTCATGCCTGTAATCCTAGCACTTTGGGAGGCTGAGACGGGTGGATCACCTGAGGTCAGGAGTTCGAGACCAGCCTGACCAACATGGTGAAACACCATCTCTACTAAATATAAATAATTAGCCCAGCATGGTGGCACATGCCTGTAATCCCAGCTACTTGGGAGGCTGAGGCAGGAGAATCGCTTGAACCCGGGAGGCAGAGGTTGCTAAGCCACTCAGTCTGTGATGGTCCTAGCAGGCTACTACAGTACACTGGATAATGATCATCTTAGCCAAGCATGCCTAAAGTTCCAGCTACTTGGAAGGCTGAGGTGGGAGGATTCCTTGAGCCCAGGAGTTGGTGTCCAACCTGGGCAACACAGCAAGATCCCATCTCTTAAAAAAAAATGTAGTAGTCTTTTGTTTCTCATAAAAATGTCTACCTCTCTGAAAGCAGGTGTTTGAGAACCACAGTCTGATCCTTTTTTCTTGGTGGACCTCACCTCTTCCTGTACATACCCAAGCCTTCTTCCTACTCAGGGGCAAGGGGGAAGGCCCCACTTAATGTTCTTGTCAGTCTTTGTCTAGAGAGCAAATATTAATGGCAAATACTCTTTATCTGTTATATGTTTTTTCTAAAGTCACATGAATAGCAAATAGGAAGGCCTGATTCAAATACAAAGATGTCCAAATCTGATGACTATACCCCCCGCCCCCGCTTTTTTTTTTTTTTTTTTTTTTTGAGATGGAGTTTCACTCTTGTTGCCCAGGCTGGAGTGCAATGGCTCGATCTTAGCTCACTGCAACCTCCGCCTCCTGGGTTCAAGTGATCTTCCTACCTCAGCCTCCTGAGTAGCTGGGATTACAGGCACCTGCCAACACGCCCAGCTAATTTTTTGTATTTTTAGTAGAGATGGGGTTTCACCGTGTTGGCCAGGCTGGTCTCGAACTCCTGACCTCAGGTGATCCACCCACCTCAGCCTCCCAAAGTTCTGGGATTACAGGTGTGAGCCACCGTGCCCGGCCCTATATCCTTTCTGTTAAAACACAGCTTTCTCCCACAGTTTCACCAACCTGGCACATGGGAGACAGTCATAAAGCTTGGCTGAATGCATGACTAAAGATTAAGCAACACAGCAACTTGTATTATGCATATTAGGTAATTTAAAATATATATACCTATATTAGTTTATGGTGCTTTACTTTGGACAGGAGGAAAGATAAAACTAAAAAATTATTAGAGGATAAATTTGCATAAAGTAGCTGAAAAAATTAAATTATCAGGAGCCTGCACAGAAGTGCTTAAATTTGCTAATGAATTCTTCAGCATTACCCTTTTAATGCCGGATTTAAATAATTCACAGATGTACTTTTTGTTATCTCTTTTTTAGCAGGATCAGTTTTTACTTTCTCCCTTAGCTTTACAAAAAGCATCTGTCTGGGATTTCTCACGTTCCCAAGGCTATAGCTAGAGCATGGAATTAGCTGACGCATAAAAGGGCTTGCCACGTGCTTGCACCTCCTGCCCCCACCTCCCAGCTATTATGGCTACTGCTGACTGCGCGGATGGTGCAGCTAGGAAAATCGAGGAGTCTCAGATTCCGCTTTACTCAAGGAATGAGAAAAATAAAAAAAAAAAAGGAATAGGATCTAGCAAACTTACCTATTTCCTCCTCTTAAATACACAGAAAACTCACTTTTTTCCAAAGCTTTGAGTTTCTATCAGCCCAGGGGAATGAAAGTCATTAATGTTTTCACACTTTGAAAATACCGTGTGTTTCTGGAGATTCACATTGGTTTATTAGTTGCTTTCTTTCTCTGTTTATTTAGTGATTAAATAAAACTGAATAACGTTTCACTCATTGCTTCATCCTTAATCATGCAGAAATCGAGATGGGCTTTTAAAAATTATCATGGCCGGGCGCGGTGGCTCACGCCTGTAATCCCAGCACTTTGGGAGGCCGAGGCGGGTAGATCACTTGAGCTCAGGAGTTCGAGACCAGCCTGGCTAACATGGTGAAACCCTGTCTCTACTGAAAATACAAAAATTAGTGGGGTGTGGCGGCGCACGCCTGTAATCCCACCTACTCAGGACGCAGAAGTGGGAGAATCGCTTGAACCCGGAGGTCGAGGCTGCAGTGAGCTGAAATTATGCCACTGCACTCCAGCCTCGGTGACAGAATGAGGCCCTATTTCAAAAAAAATAACAAATAAAAAATAAAAATTATGAATGTCCAATAAAAAAGCAAACAAAAACTAATCTGTGTAGCAGGTGTCTACCACTCTCCAGTTTTCATTTCCTGAAATATTTGAGGAGGGAAGGGAGAAGAAATGATGACACTTAATTTACACCTACAATGGACGTTTTCATAGATTAATTTTATCCATCCATTTTTTTTTTGCAAAATTTATATTTTGAACATTTGTTTTCTATAGTTGGGATGACTGAGCCCAAACTTAGAACTTCTTCCCTTTTCTCCCAGGATTTCCTAGGTATTAAAAAAAAAAAAAAAGAAAAAGAAAACAGAGATGGTAATGTGGGACACTGAATAGTAACAATTATTTTGAACATATTATCAATTTAGTAAAACTTTTAAGGACCCAGAGAAATATGATCTCTTCACATTCAGGCTTAGCTATCCAGAAAAAATAATTAAAATGCTGCAAATGAAAAATTTGCAAAATACTGTGAATTCAATGATATTTCTACTTATAAATTTGATGAAGAAATTTTTAAAGGATTAGAGTTGATTTCTAAGATTTAATTAGGGAGGGGGAAGGACTGAAAAACACTTTTTCAAATTAATTACAATCAAATACAAAAATAAGATATTGAAGCAAAAAAACATTTTTGACAATCGTATTGCAATAAGAGGATCAAATGAAAAAATCAGAATTTGAAACTAAAAGTAGATATCTGGAAAAGAGTCACAGTTGCTAATATATCCCAGTGGCAGATATTTACACTATGAAGAAGGCTAGCAGAAGAGAAATGATGCTGACAAGCTAATCCACAAATGACCTCAGAAATGACTGAATTTTTTATTCTCAACCTTTTTACTAAGAAATAATGACCAACTCAATATTATGAACTGATAATAAGTAGTAAGCTGACTAAATTATCCTGCATTTTTAACAAAAACAAAAACTGACAATTAGGACCTGATTAAACTAAAGAGCTTCTGCACAGCAAAAGAAGCTATCAATGGAGTAAAAAGACAACACACAGAATGGTAGAAAAGATTTGCAAACTACGCATCTGACAAAGGACTAATATCCAGAATCTATAAGGAACTTAAATCAATAAGAAAAAAACAAATAACCCCATTAAAAGTGGGTGAACAGACACTTCTCAAAAGAAGATATAAAAGCAGCCAACACACATATGACAAAATGTTCCATGTCACTAATCATCAGAGAGATGCAAATGAAAATGACAATGAGCTACCATGTCACACCAGTTAGAATAGCTATTATTAAAAAGTCAAAAAACAACAGATGCTGGCGAGGCTGCAGAGAAGAGGGAATGCTTATACACTCTTGGTGAGAAGGTATAGTTCAGCCACTATGGAAAGCAGTTGGGAGATTTCTCAAAGAACTTGAAACAGAACTACCATTTGAACCAGCAATCCCATTACTGGGTATATACCCAAAAGAAAATAAATTGTTCTACCAAAAAGACACATGTACTCATGTACACAATACCAAATACATGGAATCAATCTAGATGTCCATCAATGGTGGATTGAATGAAGAAAATGTTTACATATGCATTATGGACTACTATGTAGCAATAAAAAAGAAAGAAATCATGTTCTTTGCAGCAACATGGATACAGCTGGAGGCCATTATCCTTAGTGAAAAAATGCAAAAACAGAAAACCAAATATCATATGTTTTCACTTATAAGCTGAACCTTAGGTACACATGGACATAAAAATGGAAAAATAGGCTCTAGGGACTCCAGAAGGATGGAGGGAGCGGGGCAAGGGCTGAAAACCTTCTTAGTGAGGATTATGTTCACTATCTGGGTAACAGGATCAATAAAAGCCCAAACCTCAGCATCATGCACTATGCTCCTGTAACAAACCCGCACATATATTTCCTGAATCTAAAACTCAAATTCAAATTTAAAAAGAAAATAATAATAAATTATCTTGCATTTTTCTTTTCAGAAAGCAAGAATTGCTTTAGGATTTTCTTCATTCATATGAGATAGAGAAGGAAAGGATACATAGATGTTTGAAATGGAGGGTTTATATTCAGAACTTCTTTTTTTTCCTCTGTTCTTTGAAATTGGGATTTAGAAATCAAATGTCCTTAATCCGGATGGAGAAGGAACAGGTGGCTGCTATGAGCTCAGTTAATACATAAGCGTTTGGGTAGGTTGGTTACATATTGGGGAACTGAGAAACTGGACTCCAGCTCTAGACAGGTAGGAGGAAGACATAAACCAACAGAAGGACAGATTTGGACATAATTTTGGGGGTCGTGGCCCTCTCCCCTTTCCATGCAAGCTTCTATAAGCAGATAGACATTTCTTTTTATTTTTCTGCTTTTATGGCAAGAGTACACCATAAACTATTAGCACTAACAAATGAGTTCAACAAGATTGCATAGTACATAATCAATATTAAAAAAACAGTGTTACTATGTATTTGCAATAAACAATTTTAAAATGAAATTAAGAAAACAATTCTGTTTATAATTATATCAAAAAGAATAAAATACTTAGCAATAAATTTAACAAAAAAGTGCCAAGCTTATGCTCTGAAAACTCCAAACATTGCTGAAAGAAGCTAAAGACATGAATGAATGTAAAACATTTCATGTTCATGGGTTGATAAGATGGCCATACTCCCCAAATTGATCTACAGATCCAATGCAGTCTCCATCAGAATCCCAGCTGCCTTCTTTATAAACTTTTAAAAATTCACTCTAAAATTCATATGCGGTTGTAAGGGACTTAGAACCACCAAAGCAATCTCAAAAGGAATGAAAAAATAGAAAAATTCACACTTCCCGATTTTAAAACTTACTAACAAAGGAATAGTAATCAAGACAGCATGGTACTGGCACAAGTATAGACATATAGACCAAAGTAATAGAATTGAGAGTTCAAAAATAAAATCACATAATTATGGTCAGCTGATTTCAACAAGGGTGCCCAGACCATTTAAATGAGGAAAGAATAGTCTTTTCAACAAATGATGCTGGGAGAAGCAGATAGTCACACAAAAGAATGAAATCGGATCTTTATCTTACACCATACAAAAAAAAGTAACGCAAAATTGATCAAAGACACAAATGTAAGTGCTAAATGTATAAAACTTTAAGAAGAAAATGTAGGATTAAATCTTTATGACCTCAAATTTGGAATAAGCTTTTAAGATAAGACTCCAAAATAATGAGCAACAAAAGAGAAAAATAGATAATTTGGACTTTTTCAAAATTGAAAATGTTTGTACTTCAAAGAACACCATGAAGAAAGCAATCCCTTCAATGAAATTTGTATCAAACAATGGCATTCATCACAGAAATAGAAAATAAATTATAAAATTTAGTATGAACACAAAAGACACTAAATAGCCAAAGCAATCTTGAGCAAAAAGAACAAAGCATAGATGCATCACACTATTTGACTTCAAAATATACAACCAAGTTCTAGTAAGACATGGTACTGGTATAAAAAATAGACACCTAGAATGATGGAACAGAACAGAGAACCCATAAATAAACATATGCATTGACAATCAGCCCATAAGGCATGAGACTGGCATAAAAAGCAGATACATAGAATAATGGAGCAGAATAGAGAATGCAGAAATGAATATATGTATTGACAAGCAGCCCATTTTCAACAAAGGTGCCAATAATATACATTGGAAAAAGGACAGTCTTTTCAATAAATGGTACGGAGAAAACAATAATCACATACAGAAGAATGAAACTAGACCCCTATCAATCAAATCAAAATGGAGTGAAGACTTCAATGTAAGACTTGAAACTGTGAAACTACTGGAAAAATACATTGGGCAAATGCTCCAGGCCATTGATCTGGAACAAAGATTTTTTGAGTAAGATCAAGCACAGGGTACAGAAGCAAAAATTGACAAGTGAGATTACATCAAGCTAAAAAGCTTGGGCACGGCAAAGAAAGCGATTAACAAAGTGAAGAGACAATCTAAAGAGTGGGAGAAAATATTCACAAACTATCCAAATCACAAGGAATCAATAACTAGAATATATAAGAAAGTCAAACAACTCAATAGAAAAAAAATCTGATTAAAAACCGGCAAACTATCTGAACAGACATTTCTCAAAAGGAGACATACAAACGACCAACAGGTATAGAAAAAAATGTTCAACATCCACTTATCATTAGGAAAATGCAAATCAAAACCACAATGAGATATCATGATATCATGTAGCCCCAGTTAAAATCGCTATTTTCAAAAAGACAGGCGAGGCATGGTGGTCATGCCTATAATCCCAGCACTTTGGGAGGCCAAGGCGGGCGCATAATCTGAGGTCAGGAGTTCCAAACCAGCCTGACCAACATGGCAAAATCCCGTCTCTACAAAAAAATACAAAAATTAGCCAGAAGCTGTGGGGCATGCCTGTTGTCCCAGCTATGGGATGGGGGGATGTTGAGGGAGGAGAATTGTTTGAACCCGTGAGACAGAGGTTGCAGAGAGCTGATAACGGACCACTGCACTCCAGCCTGGGTGACAGAGCAAGAGAGAACTGGAGGATATTATGTTAAGTGAGACAAGCCCGACACAGAAAGACAGATATTACATTTTCTCGCTAATATGTAGAAGCTAAAAAAAATTAATCTCATGGATGTAGCGAGCAGAATGGTGGTTACCAGAGGCTGGGAAGAGTGTGGGGGTGGGGATAGAGAGATATTGGTCAATGGGTACAAACATACAGTTAGAGAGAAGGAATAAGTACTAATGTTCAGTTGCACAGTAGGGTGACTATAGTTAAGTAATAATTTATTATATATTTCAAAATAGCTAGGAGAGAAGATTTGGAATGTTCTCAACACAAAGAAATGATAAATGTTTGAAGTCATGGATATCCCAAATTATTCTGATTTGATCACTACACTGTATGCATTTATCAACATACCACATGTATCCCACATATATGTGCAACTGTAATGTATCAATTAAAAATATTTATTGCAAAAAAGTTATCTCCCACAAAATAGGAGAAAATATTTGCAAATCATGTATCTGATAAGGAAGTCATATCCATAATACGTAATGAAGCTACAAGTCGGTAACAAAAACAAGCCAATTAAAAAATGACCAATGAAGCTGACTCGACATTTCTCCAGGGAAGATATACAAATGGCCAAGAAGCTCATGAAAAGATGCTCAACAGTATTGATCATCAGGGAACTGCGAATCAAAACTGCAGTGAGAACCACTTCACACAAGGATGGCCGGAATCATAAAGGGCAGACAATAATAAGCATGCCAAGGATGTGGAGAAATCAAAAGCCACATACACTGCTGGTGGGATGTAAAGTCAGGTAGCTGCTTTGGAAAACAGTCTGACAGTTTCTCAAACAATTAAATGTAGAGTAACCATGTGACTCAGCATTTCAACTCCTAAACACATAACCAAGAGAAAACATATGTCTATACAAAAACTTATACAAGAATTATTATAGCAGCATTATTCATAAGAGCCAAAAAGTGTTGGAATAACCCAAATGTTCATCAGCTAAGGAATGGATAAGCAAAATGTGGAGTATCATATAAGAACACATTGCTTGGCAGTAAAAAGGATAAAATACTGATATATGTTGCAACACTGATGAACCTGGAAAACTTTATGTTAAGTGAAATAAACTAGTCACAAAAGTTGACAAACTATATGATTCAATTCATATAAAATTCTAGAATAGGGAAGTCCACAGAGGCAGAAAGTAGCTGCTTGGGTCTCAGCGGCTGATTGGGATTGGGGGTATGAGGAGAAAGGGAGATGATAGATAAAGGGTATGAGGTTTCTTTTTGACATGATGCAATGTTCTGAAATTGACCTCAGTGATGCTTGCACATATTGCGTACTGTAAATGGGCAAATTACATGGTATGTGAATTACTTCTTAATAAAGCTATTTAAATTTTTTAAGAGTGTGCCATTATCAGTAATCTGAAAAGTAAAGAAAATTATACTAAAAAAATCTGGTACATTATACATTTTCATCTAGTCCTTCATTGCTCTAGTATTTCCAGAATTGCAGCAGGATAATTTTCTTTTCTCTTTTTTTTTTTTTTTTTGTTTCTTTGAGACGGAGTCTTGCTCTGTCACCCAGACTAGAGTGCAGTGGCACTATCTTGGCTCACTGCAACCTCCGCCTCCCAAGTTCAAGCAATTCTCCTGCCTCAGCCTCCTGAGTAGCTGGGATTACAGGTGCCCGACACCACACCCAGTTAATTTTTGTATTTTTAGTAGAGACGGGGTTTCACCATCTTGGCCAGACTGGTCTCAAATTCCTGACCTCATGATCCACCCACCTCAGCCTCCCAAAGTGCTGGGATTACAGGCATGAGCCACCACATCCGACTGATAATTTGCTATAACACCAAATACATCAAATACCAACTTTGTAGTTTGTGGAGAAAAACTATAAATAAGTCTAAACCTTAGTTTTACACTGCCTTAAGAAAACATCTTCAATTAAAAAAATTATAAGAGCATAAGTAAATAAAACCATACAAAAGGGTATATAGTCAAAAGCACATGTCTCTTCTACTTCAAATTTCTAGTTTCCATCCCTAGAGACAAGCAGTTGTCATTTATTGTGACATCCCAGAGATGCCTACTATGACATTGTTCTGTATCCCAAACTGTCATGATCTCTCCGTACATATCATCTTGTTCAGCACCTAAAATTGACTGCCTTTATTCTTAATTTTCTTTTCATGTGCATAAAAGCTATGTTTCCCAAAAATACAACTATGTGCTATACTTTTAAAATTTCAGCCATAGCACCAAAACCCTAGGTCCTTCCACATTGTAGATATCCCAGTAAATATTTGTTGATTGGCAAGATTAGAGAAAACTGCTCAGGAAAATTCTCAGCTCTCTGCTGACAATAGGGACTAATAGCTTAGCAAGAGAAAAGGAGGTGAGCAGGGATAGAAGCATATGGAGAAAATGTTTTCTTGAATGTCTTCACACATGATTGGGGTAAAAACAGTATATTAACTTTCATTGAGAATAACAAATTTGGTATCGCTCTTCAGATAATTTTACATATTGTCTGAGAGTAAACCATACTCCCCATGTGGATCCATGGCCAAATAATTGTGTTCATGAAGTGTTACAATTTTATACCCTCTAAAGCAATTATTTATTTTTTGGCTTGAGGTCAAAGACATATTCTAGTAGATTACAAATTCATTTCCAGTAACATAAAAGATTTCCTTTTCTCAGCTCAAAACCTAACAATGAAGATAACAATGAAACAATTGCTCTATTGCTATCTCTATAAATATTTGATACTTGGTATTAAGAATAATAATGTTGCTCTTCAATTAACTTTTGTAACATATTCCTTTCTCTTCCCAATTTTTCCTAGATATGTTTTTTGACCTTTCTTAGTCAATCGCCATTAGATTTACTTCCTTTCTTCTCTATTCACTTCATAACATTTAATGACAATCTTAGTTTTTGCACTCTATTTTCACTTTCCTTCACTAATTAGGAACTAAGCAAATATTCCCCTGAAAAACACAAACACACAAGTGTGATGAATTCATCTTGCATTATTAAGTAATAATAATGTTTTGAAACTGAACCTGATTTTCCAATATCTACGAATCTTCATCTTTGCAGGATACTGTTCATGATACCAGAGCAGTAATTTGCCTGGACAAAACGCTTGCAGGAAACGAATAAACCTCACTAATTAGTGAGTTGGGTGAATGAGTAGTCAGAATATATTAATGTTTGAATTGTAAAATGTTAAAAACTAACAACTGGCCACTGTAAAATATAGAGAATAACAATTGAAATACCAAGTGATTTATTTAAATGTTTCCAATTGTAGAAACTTTGTCCTGGATCTATTTTTTTTAATTTGTCTTAACTGTTGTTAAAATAGTAATATGATTAAGTATTCCATTTCTTCCATCTAGAGGGTAGTGATTAATTTTACATTTCAAGATTTCTTTTTTCAGCCATGTGCCTTAACTTGACTCAAACTGATAGCATGAATACCCCCAATTAAAACTTGCAAATCTGTTTGTATTTGAAAAGAAAAGAAATACCCCCCACACTTTTGGTTACATTAAATTAATTCAAAATTTTTATATACTTTTTAGGTAAGTTTGGTTATTCACATTTAGCTTAAACATATCTAACATAACTTCCACTACTTACATAATATGTTTAATAAAACATATTTTATATGTTAAATTAAAAGGCCTTTAAAATGTTGCTTAACAAATGACAATGATGTCTTATATTTGTATCTGTACTCATTACAAACAATAGAATAATCCATTGGTGGGCTTTCACTGTAGATCCAGAGATGACAAGACATTTAGTGAGCAATTTACTGGGTATCTCATTACCTCTTCATCAACTAGGGACATGTGAGTTCATTCCATTACCCTTAATAAGATTGCTTTTGAAGCTCTTTGTTTCTAAGATTTAAATAGGAACTCTGTCATCTGTCAGCCTACTACTGAACTTAAATAACCAGACCAATAAAGTAGATGCAACGTGCTGCTAAACATTTCATTTGCCACAAATGAGTTAGGAGGTTCCCTTTCACACAAGTGATGCTATTTATAGCCTGTTGGAGAATGACAACTTAAGCAGGAAAGTTTGCATAGCTTCTAAGCACGAACATTCCTTCTTCCCTTTAGGTGGATGATGCGCATCTTCTCTCTCTAGGGCTGACCTCTATAATCCTCAGCCCAGAAACTTGTTCTAAACAGAATAATTTAAAAATCCAGAAAGTATATATATACACACATACATACATGTGTGTATATATACATATATGTGTGTATATATAACATGTATGTGTATATGTAACATGTATGTGTATATATACACGCGTGTATGTGTATATATACACACATGTATGTGTATATATACACGCGTGTATGTGTATATATACACACATGTATGTGTATATATACATGTATGTTTATATACATGTATGTGTATATACACACACATGCATGTATATATACACACATGCATGTATATATACACATGTATATATGTATACACATGTATGTATATACACACGTATGTATATATGTATACACATGTATGTATATACACACGTATGTATATATACACATGTATGTATATACACATGTATGCACATATGTGTGTGTATACATACGTATGTGTACATATATATAAATTTAAAGCCAGGCGCAATGGCTCATGCCTATAATCCTAGCACTTTGGGAGGCTGAGGCAGGTGGATCACTTGAGGTCAGGAGTTTGAGACCAGCATGGCCAACATGGTGAAACCCCGTCTCTACTAAAAATATGAAAATTAGTTGGGTGTGGTGGCGCACGCCTGTAATCCCAGCTACTCTGGAGGCTGAGTCCCAGCTACTCTGGAGGCTGAGGCAGGAAAATCGTTTGAACCTGGGAGGTGGAAGTTGCAGTGAGTTGAGATCTCCTGCTGCACCCTAGCCTGGGAAACAGAGCAATACTCTGTTTCAAAATAAGTAAATAGATACATAAAAGTAAATAAATAAAATCTAAGGTTCAAAGAACTCTTATCATTTTTTTTTTTGAGACGGAGTCTAGCTCTGCTGCCAGGCTGGAGTGCAGTGGTGCGATCTCGGCTCCCTGCAACCTCCACCTCCTGAGTTCAAGTGATTCTCAAAGAACTCTTATGTTTTGAACTGAGCCAAGACAATATAAGACAAGTGAAGCTATTCAAAGTTTTGGTCCTTTATAAAGATGGATTAATGATGTTTCAAATGCATTTTACTACTGAATGACATGAAATAGTGTTCATAAAATTCATCTTTTTTTGTTTTATAAAGTATTGGGAAAATAACAGAGTTTTAATGATTAAACCATTTTAATATCTAACCCTTCTACCCAATCTCTAACAAGTAGCTGCTCAGCCATTGCTGGAAAATGTTGAGTTACATACAACTGAATACTTCATTAATGGAGAATCCCAGATTTTAAAAATTCTTCCCTATTCTTAATCAAAAGATAACTTCTACTCATTTTACCACTCGTAGACATGTAAATCAGTCTAAATTCAAGGCGTAAATGCAATTATCATTGACCAAAAAACAAATGCATTTCAAACTTTGTTTTCTTGAGTTGTTGTTAAATGGCCTAGTTTATGTGTAGAAACGTTCCCACCCCTGTTTACTAGAAATTTCAATGAGTAAGAGAAACACTAATATGGAGAGATAGATATTGTTGACATCAGAGAGATAAAGAATATATCTGTGAATATTTGTCCACCTACTTCTGTAGCCTTTCCTCTATTTTAATTATTCTTCCCTTTAAATTAAAACTCCTTTTCCCTGGGAATGATTTCAGCTAGATTCCTCTCTGATTAAAGCAAATGGCATTGTTATTCCAAAGAGAACTTTGTTAGAACAAATGAATGTCTAATTGTGAAATGTAAAGAGTAGACTATTTTGGTGCTTTTTACCTCCAAGAAACCCTTTCTATTTATCCCAAGTAAATCACCAGGGAGTGAAATACACAGAGCCATCTGCATTGCTTAGTAATGCACAGCACACGATATTTGCAAATAGCTCTGCACTTCGTAGGAAATAATGCCTTCAACACCAGAACCTAGCATGAGATAGCCTTTACCTCTCTGGCAGAAAGTTATCCTCAAGGTCACTAGTAAAATGCCTTTCTCTTTCAAATGCCAGCATTCAAATTGAATTCCATCTCTGCACTCTGCAGAATCAAACAAAATCTCAGCTTACATAATGATGCAGGCCCACAGCACCTGAAAGTGCCTTCTTTGTAGGCATGTGATAAATGAGGACTGCAGCTAGAACTTTCTTGCCAGAGGTAAAAGCTAAGTGTGAATTTGAACTGGATCCAAAGCCTGATGCTTATTTGGACATTAAAACTGTCACGTGATCCTACAAAATATGACCAGTTATTGTTTACTGGGCCAGTTGGCTTTCTGAGTGTATTGACTTCCAAGTTCTGTCTCATACTCTCACTCTACTTGGAGAGCAAAGAAACATGAAATTGGTGATAACAAGAGGATATAAAATTTGTAATAAAATATTCTATTTTTTATATCAGTGCATTTAAAAAATATATAGGGCACTCAAGAATGTTCAGACAATCAAGTTTTGGATAGGGTTAATCCTTAAACTTTGTTATGGGTTTTAAGCAGCTTCATGGTATAAACTTCCCATAACACATAATTTATTTTAATTATGTATGAATTTAATGATTAATCAAATAAACTTTTTAATTGTTAGTGTTTGAAGAATCCATTTTCTGTGACAACAGAACATCATAGTCCTGATTGCCTTTTTTGTTCTCAATAGGCATTCTGGGTGTTTTTTTTAAAAATGCATTTATGAAGGTGTAACTTTATTTTTATATTAATAGGTATAAGTATGTGAACAGTTGTAAAGGAAAACTCGATTGGGAAAGAAGGTAAGAATGAAGGTGTGAAATAGTCACTTTTAACCTGTCTATTTAGACTATGTAGCAACTCATTATACATGGAACTATATTTCATTGTGCTTTTTAAAAAACTTTCTTAGTCTTTCTGAGCATCAGATTCCTTAATAATTAAATGTGTATAAAAATATCGTATTTTATGAAACCTGAGACACCACTGGTTGTAACACACACCATTATTTTATGTACCAACAGGGAAAACAAAATACTGCCTAAATTATAACAATGCTTTCTTATCCCTTAGAATTGTTATTTTATACTTACTGAAAGATCTTTTTTTTAACCTTACTTAGACATACTTAATTGTATGTCACACATCTGTTTCTATGGTTTTCTGTGGGCACAGTATCTTTCAATATGGCATAAACAGCTATAAATGACCTGTGCATTCACAGGCAATGGAAACTAAGTCCCTCCTGGCTGACAATGACTGTAGCCCACCATCAATTATAGGTGCTCCCAAGGTCAAAAGTGTCATGACAATATGTGAAGATGAAAAAAAAATGTATCTTGGACTTTGTGAAGTGTGGAATTATGTTATTATCAATACAAATAGCTATTGTTATTATTATAATTGTGGCTATTATTATCAAAATAATTGTATTCTACAGATGAATATATTTCTAACTGAACAAAAATGAACATCCTGAAGATAATCTGCTTCCACGCTATAGAAACTATTGTATTACAGTAATTTTTTAGTGTAGTAGAGAAAATAATGTTTCCCTTTTGCAGCATAAATTTTTGTGGGGGCTTTCTCTGGCCAAATGTCATCGATTATTTGATATCCAGTTATTGGATATCCAGAACTATCCAAGTCTTCCAGGTACTACGGATGGCACCACTCTTGAACAGATTTTCCCGTAAATAAGGGGGCATATTTCCCTTTTAACAGTGACTCTCAGCCAGGTGCAGTGGCTCACACCTGTAATCCCAGCACTTTGGGAAGTCGAAGAGGGCAGACCACGAGGTCAGGAGTTCAAGACCACTCTGGCCAACATGGTGAAATCCCATCTCTACTAAAAATACAAAAATTAGCCGGGTATGGTGGTGGGCACCTGTAATCCCAGCTACTAGGGAGGCTGAGGCAGGAGGGCAGGAGAATTGCTTGAACCTGGGAGACAGAGGTTGCAGGGAGCCGAGATCGTGCCACTGTACTCCAGCCTGGGTGACAGAGCCAGATTCTGTCTCAAAATAAATAAATAAATAAATAAAGTGACTCTGTGTGATTGGCCTAAAAGTACAACCAAGTATATAAACCAGAACATCGCACTTGCTTTCCTTTCAACTTCTAATTCCTCCTGTGACAGGGAAGCTAAAAAATAAATGATAGCTCCATCTCTCAAGCTTTACCGACTTTAGGGCTTTATATAAATTCCATGAAACCTACATATTCTCATTTGATAGCCTCGTCGTAGCTGAACACTGCATTGCACTGCTTCTCAGTCAACAGAAGTATCTTTGGAGTCATTTGGCATGTGCTTTGCCTCTGTGATTTGCCGTGTCTCATAGTCCAAGGTATACAATGCCACAGAATATATTTCTTTCTCTAAGTTCAGTAACCTTCCTAGTTCACTCAAGCAAACAAGAAAAATATTAGATGACAAAACATAGAAATTAATTCCTAAGTATGATCTTTAGAAGGATCAAAAATGTTTACAGCTTATACTTAAACTCCCTTCATCTGTGTAATAAACACAAACCCATTTAAAACTCATCACTTTTGGGTTTTCAATAAAAGCAAGGGTGAACCATTAAAGACAGAAAGTAAGAAAAGCCAGGGTCTGCTACCGTTAATAATATTATGCACATCATGCATATTTCTGTCCAGGGGAATAAGATATAAAATATATATGTTCAAAAATCAAGACATATAAAATTCTTTGAGTTTTCCAAATTTTGAGATATTTAGCCACCTCATAGTCACTATCGCTTCTCAACTTCTATCTTCTCAAATTGCTTGTCTTCCTCTTAATGACCTAGCCACACATCATTCCAAGGGGAGCCTTAACAAGGGGACTTGGGATGTATCCCAGGATTTTTGTCTTGAGATGTGCTCCTCTGCTGCCCTCTACTGTAAGGATCAATAATTTTGTATAAGGCGCCTGAATATACACAATGTTTTTATTAATTGAAAAGCAGAATGCTAATTAAAAACTCTACTTTAGGGGAAAAAGGGAAAAAAGGCACAATGGCAAACTAAAAATGAGAGGTTATAATTCTTTCTTTTCTCTTATAAAACTTAGACCTATATAATTCTTTATTATTATAAACTACCCCCAAAAGTTGCTACTTTATTAAAACAATGTTCCAAAAACATAATAAGTCATACTAAGCGGAACTGGCTGTATTGGTAGTGGTAGGAAGAAATTGTCTCAGGATCTCAAGTTGCAACTTTAAAATTCATTCCATGATAAGTGAATTAGTGAAAATAAGAAGGTAGTAAAATGCTTATACTTCCACTTCTATTCCTTAAGTCCTCTTTCTAAATGTCTTTTTTCTTTACTGAGGAGAGAAAACAAGTTCATTTATTTTCCTTTCTTATCAAAATAGAATGGAATGTATTGTCAATTATTTACCTTAGTTTATAGTTGGATCAATTTCACGTTAACAAAAGCTCGTTCAAATTAAATCCCTTGCTATTTCATGTCCTTCTTTTCAACTTTCCTTCTTTAAACAAATATTTATTGAGTATATTTTGTGTCCCAAGTACCTGCTTAAGAACTGGAACAAGACTGGTTCCTGCCTTCCTGGAACTTACAGTTTATGGAGACATTTAATTAAAATATTATAGGATTAAGAATTTAATCGTAATTTTCTTTTCTTTTCTTTTCTTTTCTTGTTTTTTTGAGATGGAGTCTCACTCTGTCGCCTAGGCTGGAGTGCAGTGGTGCGATCTTGGCTAATTGCAACCTTCACCTCCCGAATTCAAGTGATTCTCCTGCCTCAGCCTCCCAAGTAGCTGGGATTACAGGCATGTGACACCACGCCCGGCTAATTTTTTTTTTTTTTTTGTATTTTTAATAGAGACGGGGTTTCGCCATATTTGCCAGGCTGGTCTGGAACTCCTGACCTTGTGATCCGCCTGCCTCAGCCTCCCAAAGTGCTGGGATTACCGGCGTGAGCCACCGTGCCCGGCCTATTTAATTGTAATTTTCTGAAATATTATAAGCAGAGTGAGTAGTGTGTGGAAGGGAACTTGGTGCACCCGAGGAACTGAAAGGTTAGTGTGCTGAAGAAATGTCGTATATGAGGCTATAGAATGAGTCAAGAACAGAACATGCTGGTCTTTGGGACATGTTACGGATTTTCACCTTTATCCAAAGAGTAGTTGGAAACTATTCAATCATTTCAGGCGAGAAATGACATGATCAGACTTGTGTTTAAGAGAGATCCCTATGCAGTCCACGTAGGACAAGAGGGAACACGACAGAATGTAGGGATTTTTGTTTCGTTTTTAGGAAATATTGCCTAAATCCATTGAAGTATATTAAAGCTCTGAAATAAGGAGAAAGTAGCGTACAACTTGGAGAAATTTTTAGGTGGTACATTTAAAATAACTCAGTGTGTGGCTGGATACATGTGTACAAGGAAGAGGTAATCAAGTTTCACAAGGGAAGAGTAGTTCTGATGCAGAGAAGGAATGTGAATTCACTAATAAGTGTACTACCTTTTCTCTGTAATTTAAAACAAAACTGTTCTTTTTTTACTCCTCCTCTCCCTTGCTTACATACAAGCACACCCAAATGTACATAATCATCCCAACATTTCAAAGAAATTCCAGGCATATTTCAGCCATATTTCAGACTAAACTGATATGGAAGATGCATCTATAGATAAATTGAAACGCTGATTAAATTTAAATATATAAGTGTATAAATATATATAAATAGATGTATGAATATGCTTTATGTATGTGTGTATATGCATGTATATATAGGTGTATATGTATATATATGCATATACATATGTATATAAAATCCAAAGGCTGCAGTCATAAGCAAATAAAAAACTGCTGCTTACACATAATCACAAATTTTAAAACATATAAGGAAACAAATAACAATATTTGTTATTTGTAATACAACCAACAGGAGTATTAACACCTACAAAGTACAGATAATATAACAATCTGAAAAAGACTACAAAATAAACCTAAAGTGATTAAAGAAGTAAAAGAAAGATAGGCAGCGTAATAACATAAAACAGTATGAATAAAAGATCAAGCAGATTTTAAATTAAAACTAATTCTGAAAATATCAAAAGTAAGTGAAAAATATCTTCAGAATACTATTAAACAACAGAAAAAAAGAGAGAATTGCTGGACCACCCTAAGAGAAAATCAAAGGTTTATCTTCTGAAGACACTTAACCAAAAAAGACCTGAACTCAGGAATAGCTGAGTTTCAAAATAAGATGCCCAATAGAAAGGTTCTACAGATAATGACTTTTATTGGGAAGGGTAATGAAATCAATTACCCGTTCTATTGTGTATCCAACAGTCAGAAACTCCTGACCATGAACACGGAGTTTCTAACGAACTTTTCAGAAATTAAGTTTTAATCTTAAACTTACTAGAAATAACTTCTACTTCCTTCCATGTAAAAGTATATGGTGGCCAGGTGCAGTGGCTCATGCCTGTAATCCCAGCACTTTGGGAGGCCAAGGTGGGCAGATCACGAGGTCAGGAGTTTGAGGCCATCCTGGCTAACATGGTGAAAACCCGTCTCTACTAAATATACAAAAATTAGCCGGGCTTGGTGGCGAGTGCCTGTAATCCCAGCTACTCGAGAGCCTAAGATAGAAGAATCACTTGAACCCGGGAGATGGAGGTTGCAGTGAGCCGAGATTGTGCCATTGCACTTCAGCCTGGCAACAAAGCAAGACTCTGTCTCAAAAAAAAAAAAAAAAAAAAAGTATATAGTAAAGGACTTGCCTTCCCGCATACACAGCTAGAAAACTAGGCAAAATATATGAAACAACACACAGAGCAGAACTGTGATCCTTGAGGGGTGGGGGGAAAAAATAAAACCAAAATAGCCCTATGATCATCTCAGCATCCCATCTGGAGCTAATTTTCAGACTACAGCATAGGGAGGGAAAAGTAAAGCCAACACCTTCACTGAGATGAAAAGATAAGAGATAAGAATTTTAGGAATTCAAAGTGGCAGGTATTTTAAGGGCAGAGTACCAGGGAACCATGCAGAAAAAGAGCTCCAGGCTGGGCATGGTGGCTCATGCCTGTAATCCCAGCACTTTGGGAGGCCGAGATGGGAGAATCACCTGAGGTCAGGAGTTCAAGACCAGCCTGGCCAACACCGTGAAACCCCGTGTCTACTAAAAATACAAAAATTAGCCGTGTGTGGTGGTGCATGCCTGTAATCCCAGCTACTCTGGAGGCTGACACAGGAGAATCGCTTGAACCTGGGAGGCGGAGGTTGCAGTGAGCCGAGATCATGCCACTGCACTCCAGCCTGGGTGGCAGAGCAAGACTCTGTGTCAAAAAAAAAAAAAAAAAAAAAAGCTCCAGAACTCTGCAGAAAGATCCATTCTAATATTTTTCAATTTTAGACATGTGTTAAGTAAAACTCTATAAAACCAGTCAAAGTATAATAGCCAGAAAATTATAAGCTGAACAATTTCCAGGTTTCATACCAGGTTTGGAAATACTAGAGTTCCTACCACCCAAAAAGGAAAAGATGCTGTTAACTTCACAGGACATTCAATAGAGATCTCACAAGAGGCATGCCTTAGTACTAGCACTAAATAGTCCTAAAGTAAAGGGTAGCATAGACCCATACTAACAAAGCCTGAAGACAAACCTCCAAAGAGTACAGCTGATCCACATTTAACTGAACTGTTTACCAAAACAAACTTTAAGATCATTAAAGGGAGAAAACAAGATTCAGACACTCAACCACATAAAAATTATAATGTCCATCATCTAAACAAAAATTGCTAGATATTCAAAGAAGAAGAAATACTTGATCTATACCAGGAAGAAAAGCAAAAGGGCAATAAAGAGATCCTGAAATGGCAGGGGCAACGGAATTAGCAGATAGAGACTCTAAAACAGTTATTATAATTATGTGCAAGGATTTAAAGAAAAATGGAGGGCTGGGCGTGGTAGCCCATGCCTGTAATCCCAACACTTTGGGAGGCCGAGGCAGGTGGATCATGAGGTCAAGAGATCAAGACCATCCTGGCCAACATGGTGAAACCCTGTCTCTACTAAAAATACAAAAATTAGCTTGGCATGGTGGCACACGCCTGTAGTCCCAGCTACTCAGGAGGCTGAGGTGGGAGAATTGCTTGAACGCGGGAGGCAGAGGTTGTAGTGAGCTGAGATTGCACCACTGCACTCCAGCCTGGCAACAGAGTGAGACTCCATCTCAAAAAAAAAAAAAAAAAAAAGGAAAATGGAAGATATTTTTACAACAATAAATGGAACTTCTTGTGTTGAAAAATACAATAACTGAAATAAAAAAGTCAAAGGACTTATATATCCAAAGATAAGAAATTGCAACAGAAAAATTCATTGAACTTCAACATATAGCAATAGAAACTATCCAAACCAAAGCACAAAGAGAAAAAAGACTGACAGGAAATGAATGGACTTTTATGAATTTTGAGACAATATCAGACAGTATAACATATGTGTACTGGGAGTGGCAGAAAGAGGTAACAGAGAAAGAAAAAACTATTTAAGAAATAATGGTTAGAAATATTCTTAACTTGATTACAACTCTGAACCCACAGATTTGAGAAGCTCAATAAAGTACAAGTAGGCTACAAACAAATAAACTGTCACAATCAAATTGCTGAAAACCTATGATAAAAGAAACATTTTTTAAAAAATAAAACACACACACATTATATATAGAATTACATACCTTGAAAACCCTAAAGACTGTCAAAAACTCCTGAAGCTGATAAACAACTTCAGTAAAGTTTCAGGATACACAATCAATATACAAAAATCAGTAGCATTTCTATACACCAATAATGTTCAAACTCAGAGGTGAGGGCGATCTGGTTGTGACATCTGTCACCCCATTAATCACCAGGGTTGATTCAGCTGATCTGGCTGGCTAGGCAGGTGTCCCCTTTCTCCCTCACAGCTCCATGTGTGTTCCTCCCAAAGCTGTGCGGTTGGTCAAAGAGGATGACCATCCCTGACAGAGGAGGACTTGTTTTCACTCAAGGGTGTACCAATGGCTGCACTCCCTGCTAGAACCTCCAAACAAGCTCTCAAAATCCATTTGTAGGAGAACATAGGGTAGTAAAGCTTCCAAGACTCCAGACACATCTGAATGAGGCACTGCATGTGGCAGTCAGCCTTTCTCTTTAAAAAATAATTATAATAATAATAATGTTCAAATTGAGAGCCAAGTCAAGAATGCAATCCCATTTACAATAGCAACAAAAACTAAAAATAAAATACCTAGGAATCTATCTAACCAAGGAGGTGAAATATCTTTACAAGGGGAATTATAAAACATTGCTTAAAGAAATCATAGATGACACAAACAAGGATTATGAATTGGACTAATCAATATGATTAAAATGATCATTAAAATGGCCATACTGTCCAAAGCAATCTACAGATTCAATGCTATCCCTATCAAACTACCAATGTCCTTTCTCACAGAACTAGGAAAAAACTCTTTTAAAATTCATATGGAACCAAAAAAAGAGGCCGAATGGCCAAAGCAACCCTAAGCAAAAAGAACAAATCCAGAGGCATCACATTACCCAACTTCAAACTATACAATAAGGCTACAGTAACCAAAACAGCAGGGTACTGGTAAAAAAGCAGACACGTGGACCAATGGAACAGAATAGAGAACCCAGAAATAAAGCCAATAGCAGTAATGTGATCTTCAACAAAGTTGACAAAAATAAGCAATGGGGAAAGTACTCACTATTCAATACATGGTGCTGGGATAGCTGGCTAGCCATCTGCAAAAGAATGAAACTAGACCCCCACCTCTCACCATTTACAAATTTTTTTTTTTTTTTTTTTTTAGACAGAGTCTTGCTCTGTCATCCAGACTGGAGTGCAGTGGCATGATCTCGGCTCACTGCAAGCTCCGCCTCCCGGGTTCACGCCATGCTCCTGCCTCAGCCTCCCGAGTAGCTGGGACTACAGGCGCCCGGCCACCACACCCAGCTAATTTCCTGTATTTTTAGTAGAGACGGGGTTTCACCATGTTAGCCAGGATGGTCTCGATCTCCTGACCTCGCGATCCGCCCGTCTCGGCCTCCCAAAGTGCTGGGATTACAGGCATGAGCCACCGTGCCCGGTCAATTTTTTGTATTTTTAGTAGAGATGGGGTTTCACCATGTTAGCCAGGATGGTCTCGATCTCCTGACCTCGTGATCTGCCTGCCTCGGCCTCCCAAAGTGCTGGGATTACAGGCGTGAGCCGCCACGCCCGGCCACCAGTTACAAAATTTAACTCAAGAGGATTAAAGATTTAAGTGGAAGACCTCGAACTACAGGAATCCAAAAGAAAACCTAGGAAACACCATTCTGGACATTGACCTTGGGAATTACTTTATGACTAAATCCTCAAAAGCGATTGCAACAAAAACAAAAATAGACAAATGGGACCTAATTAAACTAAAGAGATTCTGCACAGCAAAAGAAACTTTTAGCAGAGTAATCAGACAGCCTACACAATGGGAGAAGATATTCACAAAATATGCATCTGACAAAGGTCTAATATCCAGAATCCATAAGAAACTTAAACAATTGAAGAAGCAAAAAACAAACTCATTTAAAAAATGGGCAAAAAGTAAGAACAGACACTTCTGAAAAGAAGACATACAAGCAGTCAACAAACATGAAAAAATGCTCCACATCACTAATCATCAGAGAAGTGCAAATCAATCCATACTGGGATGCTATCTCATATTGGGCAGAATAGCTATTATTAAAACGTCAAGAAACAACAGATACTGGTGAGGCTGTGGAGAAAAGAGAACACTTACATACTGTTGGTGAAAATGCAAATTTCTTTAGCCATTGTGGAAAGCAATTTGGAGATTTCTCAAAGAACTTAAAACAGGACAACCATTTGACACAGCAACTCCATCACCAGGTACATATCTAAAAGAAAATAAATTGTTCCACCAAAAGAATTCATGCACTTGCATGTTCCTTGCAATACAGTACACGATAGCAAAGACATGGAATCAACCTAGGTGCCCATCAATGGTGGGTTGGATAAAGAAAACATATGCATATATGCCATGGAATATGGCACAGCTGTAAAAAAGAATGAAATCATGTTCTTTGTAGCAACATGCATACAGCTGGAGCCCATTATCCTAAGCAGGATATTGGAATTAACACAGGGAAAGAAAAATAAATACTGCACATTCTCACTTATAATTGGGAACTAAACATTGGGTACTCACGGACATAAAGATGGTGAAAATAGACACTTGAGACTATTAAAAGGGGAAGAAGGGAGGTGGGGCAAGGGTTGAAAAACTAACTATTGGATACTACACTCAGTACCTGGGGGATGGGATCAGTTGTACCCCAAACCTCAGCATCATGTGATATACCTAGGTAACAAACCTGTACATGTATCCCCTTGAATCTAAAATAAAAGCTGAAATTTAAAAATAACACAAAGGCAAAGATAGGTTAAAAGTAAATGGATAGAAAATTATATTCCATGGAAATGCAATATAATCATAAGAAAGCTAGAGTGCTTATATTAGTATTTGACAAAGTAGACTTCTGGAAAAGGAATATTAACAGAGATCTTAAAAAGACATTTTATAATGAAAAAATGGTCAATACATCAGCAAGATTTAACAATCATAAGTGTGACTATACCTAATCATTATGCATTGCTTAATGATGGAGATAAGTTCTCAGAAATGCATCACTTGGCAATTTTGTAGTTGTGCAAACATCACAGAATGTGCTTACACAAACATAGATGATACAGCCTACTACACACCTAGGTTATATGGTATAGCCCATTGCTCCTAGGCTGCAAAATGTATAACGTGTTACTGCACTGAATACGCAGGCAACTGTAACACAATGGCAAGTATCTGTGCAACTAAACATATGTGAACATTAAAAGGTATAGTAAAAACATGGTATTATAAACTTACGGGACCACCATCATATATGCTGTCTGTTGCTAACCAAAACATTGTTATGCTGTGCTTGACTGTAGTTTCAAAATAAATGAAGTAACAGCTGATAAAACTAAAAGGAGAAATAGACAAATACACAAGTTTAGTTGGAAAGTTAAACACTACTTTCTTAGTAATTGATATAACAATTAGAGAAAAACTCAGTAGCAATATACGTGACATGAACAATCCTATCATTTAACTTGATATAATAAACATGTACAGAACACTACAGAAAACAACACAATTTTTTTTACAAGTGGAAAATTCACTAAGATAGATTATATGCCAGGACATAAAACAAGTCTGTGGAAATATGCAATGTATGTTCTCAGACAATGGTAGAATAAAACCGAAACTCAACAACAAAAAGATAGCTAGAAAATGCAAAATTATTTGGACATTAAGTATCACACTTCTAAATTGTGCATAAACCAAAGAAAACAAATCATAAATGAAATTAGAAAATATTTGGAACTGAATGATAATCAATGCACAACATATTAAACTTTTGAAATGCTTTAAAATTTCTAGATTTAAATGCTTATATTTGGTGAAAAGAATCTAAAACCAAAAACCTAACCTTCCAACTTAAAAAGCTAAAAAGGAAGAGCAAATCAAATCCAAAACAAGTAGAAGGAAAATATTCAAATTTATAAAGTAGAAAAAAAATTGAAAGGATTAATGAAATTTAAAAAGCATCTTTTCAGAAGATTAATGAAATTTATAAAATTCCAGCTGAATGATAATGATGGATTCTGACAAATGGAATGGCTGTATCAGAGATGCACATTTAAATTAATGATAGATATTATCAAAGTCACTTACCTGAAAAGGATTTTTACCCATTTAGAATACACCAAGGTGTATGAAAACACCACTTTTGCAAGTCCTCTTAGACGTTAGATATTATTAATCTTTTTTATTCTTTAATTAAAATTTTTTATTGTTTTAGTTTTTATTTCCAGTGATGATTAGAGAGTTGAGAATCTTTGATGTATTTATTGGCATTTCGTATTTTTTTTCTTCCATGATCTGATCTTTGTCTTTTTCTTATTGCTTTGCAGAAGCTCTTTTGATGTTCTGGATAGTAGGATTTTGCCTGTTATATATTTATGTGGCATGTATTTCCTTCTTATGTGTTGCATCTCTCTTAATTTTGTTTTATACTCTATAGAAGTTTAAATTTTTTAGTCAAATCTGAGTTGACTTACGAGTTTTGTGATTATTGTGGAAGCTCTTCACTATACAAATTTTCTTAAAAATCTTTTTTCAATAATTGGATTTGACTTTTATATTTAGCTTTTAGAAATGTATCTTGTATGGCATGAAGTAGAAATTGACTTTTGCTCACTTCCATGTATAGATAATTATATCAAGAATATTTATTAAATACACCACTATACTTTTCCCTCTATGGTAAAACGTCACCTTTATCATAAATTAAATTCCCACATATATTACTTTGTTTCTGAACTCTATTTTGTTCTATCAAGCTATATAACTATTTCTATGCCAATGCTACATAGTTTTAATTATCATGATAATATATGGTTTTCTATACATAGCAGGAAAAAGTTTCCATGAAACATATTTTTGAGACTTTGAAAAGTATTGTATTACATTTATTAGATTTACTTGGGGATTTTTTTTCTTTTTTTTTTTTTTGAGATGGAGTCTCGCCCTGTCACCCAGGCTGGCATACAATGGCATGATCTCGGCTCACTGCAACTTCTGCCTCCTGGGTTCAAGCGATTCTCCTGCCTCAGTCTTACGAGTAGCTGGGATTACAGGTGCGTGCCATCGTGCCCAGCTAATTTTTTGTATCTTTAGTAGAGACGGGGTTTCACCATGTTGGCCAAGCTGGTCTCGAACTCCTGATCTCGTGATCTGCCTGCCTTGGCCTCCCAAAGTGCTGGGACTACAGGCGTGAGCCACCATGCCTGGTCAGGGATTTTTATTTTATTGTTTCTTTAACATCACAAGTCTTCTCATTTAAGAAAATAGGAAGAGTTTTTATTTATAAAAGCCTTTTTAAAAAGGAACCAATTTATATTATACTTTCTTTTTCTTATTTTTAAAATTTATTTATTTCTTTTTTTGAGACAGAGTCTTACTCTGTTGCCCAGGCTGGAGTGCAGTGGTGTGATCTAGGCTCACTGCAACCTACTCCTCCCGTGTTCAAGCGATTCTTCACCTCAGCCTCCCGAGTAGCTGGGAATACAGGCGCGTAACACCATGCCTGGCTAATTTTTTGTATTTCTAGGATAGACGGGGTTTCACCATGTTAGCCAGGATGGTCTCAGTCTCCTGACCTCATGATCCTCCTGCCTCAGCCTCCCAAAGTGCTGGGATTACAGGCATGAGCCACTGCGCCCCGCCTTATACTTTATTTTTCTAATGGTGGGATTAGAAATGTTTTTTAAACTTTTATTTATTTTAGGTTTGGGGTACATGTGCAGGTTTGTTATACCAGTAAGTTGTGTGTCATGGGGGGTTGGTGTACAGATTATTTCATCACTTGGATAGTAAGCATAGTACCCAATAGGTCGTTTTTCAATCCTCACCCAACTCCACTATCCATCCTCAAGTAGGCACATGTGTCTTTTGTTCTCTTCTTTGGGTCCATATGTACTCAATGCTTAGTTCCCACTTATAAGTGAGAACATGTGATATTTGGTTTTCTGTTCCCGCGTTAATTCACTGAGGATGATGGCCTCCATCTTCATCTATGTTGCTGCAAAGTACATGACCTTATTCTTTTTTTATGGCTTCATAGTATTCTGTGACATATATGTACCACACTTTCTTTATCCAGTCTATCATTGATGGGCATTTAGGCTGATTCATGTCTTTGCTATTGTTAATAGTGCTGTGATGACCATATATGAGCATGTGTCTTTATGGTAGAATGATTTTTCTTCCTTTGGGTATATACTTCTGTAAGCTTTGCTAACTTCTAAAATCTATTGATTGAAATATACATAATCATCAAGATTGCCATAAATTAGGTGAGGTTTTTAAGTAAATTTATTATAGCATTCATTTTGTTTTTGTTTTTTGTTTTTGAGATGGAGTCTCATTCTGTGGCCCAGGCTGGAGTGCAGTGGCACAATCTCGGCTCACTGCTACCTCTGCCTCCTGGGTTCAAGCAATTCTCTCGCCTCAGCCTCCCAAGTAGCTGGGATTACAGGCACCCACCGCCCCACCCGGCTAATTTTTGTATTTTTAGTAGAGACGGGGTTTCACCATGTTGTTCAGGCTGGTCTCGAACTTCTGACCTCAGGTGATCTGCCAGCCTCGGCCTCCCAAAGTGCTAGGATTACAGGCGTGAGCCACCACACCTGACCATATAGTATTCATTTAAAATTTATTTTCCTCCCCTTTAACTAGTTTTGTCTTCCCCCATCTTAGTAAATGAAACTACTACATGCTTTGTTGCAAAAGCTAAAAATTTAGGAGTCAAATCTCTCACACCATATATTTAATGCATAACCAAAATGTCAATTCTGGTCCCAAAATATTTTCCAAATCTTTTCACTCTGTTCACTCTAGATCAATTTGCCATCATTTGTTAATAGATGTATCAATTAGGACAAAGGGTGAGTATCATATAACCAACTCTTGCCCCCTCGCCCCTCAGAAAAACCCAACTAAATAAGAGTGGTTTAAACAAGATAGAACTTTCACAAACAGAAGAGTGGTTTAACAAACAAGAAAGGAGTTTGTTCTCTTCATTACTGAGGGCTAGGTTGCTGACTCCTAAAACAAGGATGCTTTCTATTATGCCAGTGACTTCCAGCCTGTAGGGTGTTGATGCCTGGGAGTTCACAGAGTGATTACCAGGTGTCCCCAAAGTTTTATGTACTAAATATTATCCATAGATTAAATAAATGATAGTACTGATTTAGTTTATATTTATTCTATGATACAGTAGACATTGCTGTGTGATACGTAGACCTTATGGTGGCTAATGAATCCTTCACAGATTTATATATATATATATGTATATGTTCAAGTCACAATTTGTTTTAAGCAAAAGTATAGTGTGAAACTTTCAGGAAGCTTCTAACATTGCCTGAGCCCTGTACTGAAAAACAGTGATGACTGAGAAATTCCTTCACCCTTTTGTTTCCTGAAACCCATCCCTAGCCCCGCCTTTTGTGTTCCAGGAATGAATTACCTCAGAGAACTACCCTTTCTCACATGAGGTAGATAAGACTCTGTGTCTCTTTCTCCTGGCTTCTGTAATACCCTCAGATGACTCCTTTGTTTTTGCCTGACCTGTTGAGAAGGTCAGTCATGAACACTCCAAGACCCCGTTGTTGGTCTCATAAATGATTTAGCAGAGATTAGAACAGTTTGTCTGTTTGAAACTAGCCAAACACAGACATAAACATTTCCTGTTCCGCCAACTGACCGGGACTTCCCCTGATTGCAAAATAACCCCAAATGGCAATCGCCCCACGTCTACTACTTCCTATAAAAGTCTAAGAAGGGCTGGGCACAGTGGCTCATGCCTGTAATCTCAGTGCTTTGGCAGGTGGAGATGACAGGATTGTTTGAGGGCATGAGATCAAGAGGAGCCTGGCCAACATAGCAAGGCCCTGTCTCTACAAAAAAAAAAAAGAGCCAGGTGTGGTGGCATGCACCTATAATTCGAGCTACTCAGGAGGCTGAGGCAGGAAGATGGCTTGAGCCCAGGAATTTGAGGCTGCAGTGAACTCGGATCATGCCACCGCAGACCAGCCTGGGAGGCAGAGTGAGATGCCGTTTCTATGCTAAAAACAAACAAACAAACAAAAAGATCTAAAGGAAAATCACACTGCCAAGACACTCTGACATTAGGGCCTAGGGTGTTCTGCTTATTGCAATAGCCTGAATAAAGCCATCTCCTTAATTGTCAAGATCACGCCACTGCACTCCAGCCTGGAGACCCTGTCATTAAAAAAAAAAAAATTAAAAAAAAATATAATATTATTCCAAACAATGCTATAATAAAAGTGCTTTGCAGTGAAATAAGTTTTGAAAATACTGCACACTATCACCAATATCATTTGGGGTTTATAACACATTATTCACTTTTAAACATCTTCTGAGGAACGCAAGTAAAGAAGCTGCTTGGGCTAGGCGCAGTGGCCCATGCCTGTAATCCCAGCACTTTGGGATTACAGTACCCAGGTGGGTGGAGTGCTTGAGCTCACGATCTGAGGCCAGCTGGGCAACATGGCGAAACCCTGTCTCTACAAAAAATACAAAAATGATCTGGGTGTGGTAGTGCACACCTGTAGTCCCAGCTACTCAGGAGGCTGAGGTGGGAGGATCACTTGAGCCTGGACAGCAGTGGTTGCAGTGAGCCAAGATTGTGCCACTGCACTCTAGCCTGGGCAACTACAGGATAGTGTTAAGGTACTGTGATTCTCCTGCCTCAGCCTACCGAGTAGCTGGGATTACAGGTGCACACCACCACACCCATCTAATTTTTTGTATTTTTAGTAGAGACAGGGTTTCACTATGTTGGCCAGACTGGTCTTGAACTCCTGACCTCATGATCCGCCCTCCTCGGCCTCCCACGGTGCTGGGATTACAGACGTGAGCCACCGCGCCCAGCCCTAAAATAATTTTTTTATTTTTTGAGACGGAATCTCGCTCTGTCGCCCAGGCTGGAGTGCAGTGGTGCAATCTCGGCTCACTGCAAGCTCCGCCTCCCGGGTTCACGCCATTCTCCTGCCTCAGCCTCTTGAGTAGCTGGGACTACAGGCGCTTGCCACCGTGCCCGGCTAATTTTTTGTATTTTTAGTAGAGACGGAGTTTCACTTTGTTAGCCAGGATGGTCTCGATCTCCTGACCTTGTGATCCACCTGCCTCAGCCTCCCAAAATGCTGGGATTTCAGGTGTGAGCCACCATGCCCGGCCGCCCTAAGGTAATTTTTATATGCACTAGGAAACCCCAAAATTTGTGCAGCTTACTTAATTGTGGTATCTGGAATCAAACCCACAGTATTTCCAAGTCATGGCTGTATTAAAAAGAATGAGCTAGATAAATATGGCATCATGTGGAAAAATGTCCACAACAGAGTAAATTTTGTAAATGTAAATGGTAGAATAGTCTCACTTCTGTTTTTGATGATTCATAGAAAATGGATTTGGAAAGTCATAGAAACTGAATTGTTAAAATGACCTCTGAGAAAAAGGGGTGTAGTAGGTAGGAGCCAGTAGGGTGAGAGTGATATCAATTTTTATTTTATGTACTTTTTTTATTACATTAATACATATTTTTTCAATAAGTATATTAAAGAAGTTTAAGATGTTTATAAAAATGTATATTAAAAGAAATTTAATGAGCAATTATTGTTAACCTTTAGTATATTTGGGGCTTCCAAGGAAAGCAGAATAAATATAAGCATGCATGCATACATACATACATGGAACAATTTTCAGGGGAGAGGTTCCAAATCTTCAAACAAATTTTCAATTGATTCTATGATCCCAAAAAGGTTAATACTGATGGTAAACAGGTCCACAGTATGACTCCACAAAGTAGGAAGGAACTCCAAGTAGTAAGTTACATAGTTTTCTCCAGGATACAAAGAAGGCTCTTCTGTCTTCCTCACCAAATATTCTGTGGCTCTACCCTCATTTTCTTGTACTGGTGGTGTTCAAAATATATGGTATATTGGCCAGGTGTGGTGGCTCACACCTGTAATCTCACCACTTTGGGAGGCATGGGTGGATTTCTTGAGGCCAGGAGTTTGAGACCAGCCTGGCCAACATGGTGAAACCCCATCTCTACTAAAATTACAAAAGTTAGCCAGGCATGTTGGCACACATCTGTAGTCCCAGCTACTCAGGAGGCTGAGGCATGAGAATCACTGGAACCTAAGAGGCAGAGGTTGCCGTGAGCAAAGATCATGAGATTGCAGCAATTCAGTTCCATCTTCAGGCGCCACTTCTAATTCTAGTTCTCTTGCTATTTCTACCACATCTGCAGTTATTTCCTCTACTGAAGTCTTGAGCCTCTCAAAGTCAGCCATGAGGATTGGAATCAACTTCTTCCAAACTTCTATTAATTTGGATATTTTGACCTCCTCCCATGAATCATGAATGTTCTTAATGGTATCTAGAATGGCAAATTCTTTCTAGAAGGTTTCCAATGTACTGTACCCAGATCCATCAGAGGAATCACTATCTATGGCACCACAGCATTACAAAATGTGTTTTTTAAATGATAAGACTTGAAAGTAGAAATCACTCCTTGATCCATGGTCTGCAGAATGGATGTGTTAGCAGGCATGAAATCATTAATCTCCATCAGAGTTTTTGGGTGACCAGGTGCACTATTAATGAACAGTAATATTTGTAAAGGATTTTTTTTTTCTGAGCAGTAAAATAGTGGGTTTAAAATATTCAGTAAACCATGTTGTAAACAGATGTGTTGCCATTCAGGCTTCGTTGTTCCATTTCTAGATACAGGCAGAGTAGATTTAGAATAATTCTTTTTTTTTTTTTTTTTTTTTTTTTGAGACGGAGTCTCTCTCTGTCACCCAGGCTGGAGTGCAGGCCCAATTTCAGCTCACTGAAACCTCCACCTCCCAGGTTGAAGCGATTCTCCTGCCTCAGCCTCCTGAGTAGCTGAGATTACAGGCACCTGCCACTATGCCCAGCTAATTTTTGTATTTTTAGTAGAGACAAGGGTTCATCATGTTGGTCAGGCTGGTCTCGAACTCCTGACCTCGTGATCTGCATGAGCCACCGTGCCTGGCCAGATTTAGCATAATTCTTAAGGGCCCTAGGATTTTCAAAATGGTAAACAAGCACTGGCTCCAACTGACAACCACCAGCTACATTAGGCCTTAACAAGTGAGTCAGCCTGGCCTTTGAAACTTTGAAGCCAAGTATTGACTTTTCCTCTCTAGCTATCAAAGTCTTAGATGTCATCTTCTTCCAATAGAAGGTTGTTTCATCTCCATGAAAAATGGCCACCTTCATCAATGATCTTAGCTAGATTTTCTGGTCAACTTGCTACAGCTTCTTCATCAGTACTTGCAACTTCACCTTGCTCTTTTATGTTACGGAGATGGCTTCTTTCCTTAAACCACATGAACCTCTGCTATCTTCAAACTTTTCTTCTGCAGTTTACTCATTTCTCCCAGACTTTAAGATAATTCAGAATCAGGGCCTTGCTCTGGATCTGGCTTTGGTTCAAGGAAATGTTGTGGCTAACTGGATCTTCTACACGGACCACTCAAACTTTCTTCATAGCAATAAGGCTGTTTATCTTTCTTATCATTCATGTGTTTAGTGGAGTAGCACTTTCAGTTTTCTTAAAGAACTTTTGCTTTGCATTCACAACTTGGCTAACTGATACAAAAAGCCTAGCTTTCTTTTGACAAAACTTTCTCACTAATCTTGATCATTTCTAGCTTTTGATTTAAAGTGAGACACATGCAGTTCTTCCTTTCACTTAAACACTTAGAGGCCATTGTAGGAATATAAAATGGCCTAATTTCAATACTGTCGTGTCTTAGGGAATAGGGAGGCCCACGGGGAGAGAGAAACAGGAGAATGTACTGGTCCCGGGGCAGTAAGAAACACACAACATTGATCTATTAAGTTTGCCGTCTTATAAGGGCATGGCTGGTGGCACCCCAAAACAATGACAAGAGTAACATTAAGAATCACTAATCACAGATTGTAATGAATATATTAATGGAAATATTTGAAGTATTGTGAAAATTACCAAAATATGACGCAGAGACACGAAGCAGGTACACGCTTTCGGAAAAATGTTGCAGATAGACCTGCTTGATGCAGGCTTGCCACAAACTTTCAATTTGTAAAAGCGGTATCTGTAAAGCACAATAAAGCTAAACACAATAAAAGGAGGTATGCCTGTAATTCCTGGTATGAAGTACCATAATTCTCCATTTTTTTCCCATTATTTGTTAATTTATTTCACATTTACTGAACTTATCTTGGTGAGACACACTGTGTGGCTGGAGAAATAGCAGGGAAGGAAATAGACAAGGCTCCTGCCCTTAGAGAGCTAGCTCTCTAGTAGGGGGAGACAAATCATTAACAAGTAAACTGTGCTAGAGTGAGGATTCAAGGGCCAACAACTAAATTTTGGTCCTTGTTTTCCTGGAGCCTACATTTTAGGGTAATTAAATAAAATATAAAAGACCTCAACACTGACTGGAACATAATAATTGATCAGTAAGTGTAAATTTTTATTACTGCTTAAAAAATTGGTTACAATCTGCCATTGAATTCATTGTTCAAGATTTCGTTCTGAATATTGGTGATGTGTTTTTGCCATTTGACTACCTTCTATAATTTGCCTTGCCTGTTTATATCCTTGGTCATAATTTTTCTGGTTTGCCTTTTACTAATGGACATGTAGTTCTGAGGCAGAATAGGGTCTGGAGGCAGGGAATGTTAAGGCCGATTCATGCTGACTTCCTGGAACTAAATCAAATTGCAGTACTTCAGCAATGACAGGAAACATCCTCTCCATTTACACAGGGCTTATATCCAGTAAATGACTTTAAAATTTACTTCATCCTCTTCATTTACATAGGGCATAAGCCAAGTAACCAATGGAAACCTCTAGCTGGCATTTAAACCCCAGAACATTCTCTAACGGCACTCTTGAGCCCCTATCCTCGGGCGCTCCCAACCTATGGGGTGTACTTTCATCTTCAATAAATCTCTGTTTTTGCTTCATTCTTTCCTTGCTTTGTGCGTTTTGTCCAATTCTTTGTTCAAGACGCCAAGAACCTGGACACATCAACTGGTAACAGCTCTTCATAGGATAAACACATGGCAACCACTTGTCTATTACATGTGCAGATAGTTTCCTTGTACCCCAATTGTCTTTTAGGTTCATTAAGGTCATATTTAAACATGGACTTTTGAAATTTGTTGTAGCTAAACCCGTATATAAGCATTTAGGCTTCCTCCTTCTTTGGGTCTTTTCTTGTGGACTCCCATGCACATAGCTGTAAGCTTTTCCCCTGTTAAACTGTCTTAAGTCAATTTAACCTCTTAGGCCCAGGTGGAAACCTTAAGAGGGTAGAGGGAGATTAGGTTCGCTCACTATTGGAAAAGCCTGTATTGCAACAGTGACGCTCTGCAGCTGCAGATAGGTGGCTTAAAGTTTCTTCCAACAAAAACATTCTGTTTCCACAAAGCAAAGTAAGGAAAGCTCTTAACGGAGTGTTCCCTAAAGAAAGCTTTTTTTTTTTCTTTGAGATGGAGTCTCGCTTTGTCGCCCAGACTGGAGTGCACTGGTGTGATCTTGGCTCACTGCAACCTCCGGCCTCCCGGGTTCAAGCGATTCTCCTGCCTCGGCCTCCCGAGTAGCTGGGCCTACAGGCGCGCGCCACCATGCCCGGCTAATTTTTTGTATTTTTAGTAGAGACGAGGTTTCACCATGCTGGCCAGGCTGGTCTCGAACTTCTGACCTCATGATCCGTCCGCCTCGGCCTCCCAAACTGCTGGGATTACAGGCGTGAGTCACCGCACCCGGCCAGGAAGGAAAGCTTTTAACCCGACGGCTCAGGGAGGACACCGGTAGCAGGACTAGAAGCAGCACAGTGGAAAGTAAGTTTGGCTTGGAAGCTAGGTCAAGCATGGGTGATAGGGAATTCGCCACTTAGTTTGAAGCAAATGGCCTCCTTGTTAAAGCTGAGTGCAGAGGGCCCGGCAGCAGTACTACAGCTAGCAGAACCAGCCCAGAAAACGAAGCCTTGGAGACTTGAGGTGGGTAGTGCCGGACGCAGAGCACAGGGCGCGGCTCCCACTTGCCTCCGGCTCCCGGAAGCGGGCGGGGCCACCTCGCGTCCCGGGGGCTAAAACCTGCGAGCGAGGACCGCGCGCCAAGGCTCCTCAGCCGAGCGCCGAGCGGTCGATCGCCGTAGCTCCCGCAGCCTGCGATCTCCAGTCTGTGGCTCCTACCAGCCATTGTGTAAGTGCGACTGCTGCCGGGCGCGCGGGCCGCGGAAGGGGGCGGCCGCCTCTCGCTCCCCAGGTTCCCGGATGGTGATGGGTTCGCGGAGAGAGGCGGCAGGGGCAACCCCTCGGACCTCATAGCGGCCCGCGCGGCCGGTCTCCGGGGGCCCCCGCCCGCGGCGGTGCTGTAGGCGAGCCGTGGCGGGTCCCCAGCGCCGGGTGCTGCGCCGCAGCTCAGCTGGCTCCTGGGTCCCGGAGCGCGCCGCTGCCGAGTGCCAGGTTCAGGCGGCTCCCGTGCTGTTGGTTCTGCGCGATGTTTAATTAAAACTGAGAGTCTAACTTCACTTTTTTTTTTTTAATGCAGAGGCCAATAATCCGTTATGGAGCATGCCTTTACCCCGTTGGAGCCCCTGCTTTCCACTGGTACTGTATTTCTTTCCACGGTTTAGTGTCACTGACGTGCCCCTCCCCAGCGACGGGAACAGGTCGAAAGGACGGGGCTCTAGAGCCAGCGTGACTTCCAGCCTGGGTTCTGTCCCTGATTTCCTAGCTCTGTACCGCTAAGCATATCAGCCTCTCGCCGGTCTCATTTTCCTCATCTGAAAAATGAGCTTACGTATCAGTCCTTGCTGTGAGGACGAAATGACAAGATACAGTGTGTGTAGTCCGTGTGGAGCCCAGTAAGCGCTTCCCGGCTGTTGCGCCTCCACCAACAGCGCGAACAAATCTGGAACATAGCGGAACATTAGACATTGCAGGCATTAAGGACGGTCATCGTTGCCTGACCGTGATGCATTTTTAATCCATTGAAAGTGCCCCGAGCTTATCTAATAAAAGATTGGCAAATGATTATATCAAGTGTTTTAAATCTATATAACACTCAGGATATTTTATTCTTCTAAGATTTGAAATTACTGTGTAACCGAGTTCAGGCTGGGCTGCTCGCTGCTTGCAGAGCCAATCAACAAGGACGAAGGGCCCGGAAAGGAAAGTGACTACTTTCCAAAGCTAGCAATGGGGAAGTAGTCCAAGCTTCTGCCTTAACGAAACCATTTCAAATTTGGACAAAATGTAAGAGCTTATAAAGGGGCGCTTGGTATTGGGGCTCGGGGGCCCCAGTCTACGTGACTTGCTCAGATATTTATCTTGGGTTTTTGCCTCATCTGGTGAATGGGCTGGCGCCTGAGTATAACTGGGTTGCAAATTAACTGCAGCCTTGAAGTAATCTCC
The DNA here is from genome assembly GCF_000001405.40 of Homo sapiens. Classification (NCBI taxonomy): domain Eukaryota; kingdom Metazoa; phylum Chordata; class Mammalia; order Primates; family Hominidae; genus Homo; species Homo sapiens. The sequence goes on along the minus strand of NC_000007.14, from coordinate 144,834,752 downwards.
AGGTGGAGGAGAATTCAGTAGTCGCCTGAATTGTTTCAAGATTAGTCTCTGGAACTTCAGACGAACACATAATTAGATAAGGGAAACGTTGTGTAAGGGTGTTCGTGGGGGAAAGGAGAGCAAAGACTATTATCTCATTGTTAAAGGTAAGACAAGGCATCGCACAGGAAAGAGAAAAACTTTTGAAAATAAGACATTCAGGTACTTCACATGGAAATAGATGGAATGAATGAGTTTATGAGGCAGGTTGTTAGCATTCATTCTTGTGTAATAATTGACTACTGTGTGATAATTTGGTAATGTTAAAGTATTTTCAATTAACTATTAGTTTTTTCTCATAACTTTCGTAAATTTAAACAGAAAGTATAATTGTTTAAACGTTTACATTTGTTTTCTGTCAACATGAATTCATGGGTCGTGTTTTGGGCATTGAATTTAACTTGTACGTTTTTCCACATGCTGGGAATAGTAGGTGACATTGACTCCTTACTCCCAAGTCATGTTTTTGTTTGTGACAGGGTCTTGCTTTGTCGCCCTGGCTGGAGTGCAGTGGTGCCATCATGGCTCACTGCAGCCTCGACCTCCCATGCTCAAGCGATCCTCCCACCTTAACTTCTGGAGTAGCTAGGACTACAGGTGTGCACTACCCCACCTGGCTAATTTTTAAATTTTTTGTGGAGAAGGGGTCTCCCTGTGTTGCCCAGGCTGGTCTTAAACTCCTGGGCTCAAGTGATCCCATTCTCCTGCCTCAGTCTCCCAAAGTGCTGGGATTGTGGGTATGAACTACCACGCCTAGTTATGCTAAAAGCTTTATATACATATACATGTTTATGTCTTATTCTACAGGTGAAGGAAAACAGTTACATAACTAGAGTCTTAATCCCTTTATTATTTTAGTAGATTAAAAGGTTGAGTGTTTATTACTTTAAACAGCTTTTCAAAGTTAAAAAAAAAAAAAAAAAAGGCCAGGCGCGGTGGCTCAGGCCTGTAATCCCAGCACTTTGGGAGGCTGAGGCAGGAGGATCACCTGAGGTCAGGAATTCTGAGACCAGCCTGGCCAACATGGTGAAACCCTGTCTGTACTAAAAATAGTCTCTGCTAAAATTAGTTGGTTGTGGCGGCACACGCCTGTAATCCCAGCTACTTGGGAGGCTGAGGTAGGAGAATTGTAGGAGAATTGCTTGAACCTGGGAGGTGGAGGTTGTAGTGAGCTGAGATTGCACCATTGCACTCCAGCCTGGGAGACAGAGAGAGACTCCATCCTCCATCTCAAAACAAAAACAAAAACAAAAACAAAAACAATCCAAAGAAAAAAAACCCCAAAAGGCACTGGGAAGCACATTTTGCAAATTTCCTAGTTCTCGTTTATCCAGTATTACCAGGACAAACAGCATTTTCTAGAGTAAACATTTGATTTGGGTGAAATGTTGACTTTCAGATTTGTTACTGAAACCTAAGAGCATTACTGTCTGAAGATTTCTAATGGTTTCTAGGTTAAAAGACATATATCAGGGATACTGACTGCTGCATAATAAAGATTGTATTGAGGAACTATAATATCTGGGTTTAAATCCTAGCTTTGCCACTTAATAGTTATTTCACCTTGTACTTCCATTTCTTCATCTGTAAAATAGGAATACATCATAGGGTTATTATGTGTATAAATGAATTAGTACAAATCAAGCACTTAGCTTCAGTAGCTATAAGCTGTTCAGCAGTAAGTTTGAGGGGAAAGCAAAAAGGCAGTTGAATCTCAGGGTGGATGCTGAGATGGAAAAGGAGGGAGCTGATAGCTCTGCCCCTTTGTTTTTAATAGAGGCTTAGTGGAGAAGGCCTTGACTGCTTAAGTCAGGACATTTGTAAGTTCCACATTGGAGCAAGGCCTGTAGGGAAATGGTGATATATGAAGTACAGATCCAGGGAACAGAATCCAGTGCCTGGCCTCTTGGGTGGTTCTCACAGTTACCTCCTGTTGTTCCTATGGGTAAAACTGTGTAGGATTCTTGTCTTATCTCTAGTTTTGACCTTGAAACAAGGATTTGGGCAAGTTTGTGATTACTCTGGATATGTATAAGGTGTTTAACAACAGAACTATTACTATAAGGGCCAGTGTGATGCCGGATCTTTTACAGTAATTCAGTAAATTTTTGAGGTTAATTTTTTTATTGGAGAGATTCCCTTTATCAAACAGGTTCAGTGTTTAATACTCACCTGGCAGAGAAGTTTTTTCTGATACCAGCTTCTGTGAATTTTATTTGTTGGTATGATTTATCTGTAATGCTTATTAAGATTTAGTATAGTGGACAATCCAACAATAAAGGTAGTTCTCTACAGATTAAGAAGTTGCTAAGAAAAGTTTTGTGGACCAAAATACTTAACCCTCTGGGATGATCACTAGCCCAGGGAAAGATGGAATTCTTTTTAAAATTCTTTTTTTTTTTTTTGTAACTAAGTGCTCATTATTTAAGAAAAAACAACTATCTGCCCTAGAATGTGAAAGTTTCCTGTACTCCCTTTTCCAGAAATAACTATTATTTCTCATACTTTAAACAAAATGTGTTCATATTATAAATTGTTTTGTAAATTACTGTTTGTGGGCAGTGAGTTAAAATACATAAATATTTGTTACTACAAACATCACATGTGCTCTTTGTTCATTTTTTTTCCAAACTAAAAAATGTGTCCTAGTTACCGGACATTATCAGTCTAAAAATTTATGTGTTCTTTTAAATTTTGTGTGTATGAATAAAACAAAAATAGGCCTATTGAATACCCTTTTCTGCAACTGTTTTCACCTACTACTTTGTTATGTCTATGTGTATAGATATCCCAACTGTTTGTTTTTTTAATGGACAGTAATGGACTGAAATTCACTGGTCATTCTTTTTTTTTCTTTTTTTTTAGAGACAGGGTCTTGCTCTGTTAGCCCAGGCTCAAATGCAGTGGTGTGATCATTGCTCACTGTAACCTCTGACTCCTGGGCTCAAGCAGTCCTCCTGCCTTGGCCTCCCAAAGTGTTGGGATTACGGGCATGATCCGCTGTGCCTGGCCTCACTAGTCTTTTTTTTTTTTTCCTGAGACAGAGTCTCGCTCTGTACCCTAGGCTGGAGTGCAGTGGTGCAATCTCAGCTTACTGCATCCTCTGCCTCCTGGCTTCTCCTGCCTCAGGCTCCCAAGTTGCTGGGATTACAGGCGCCTGCCACTGCGCCTGGCTAATTTTTCTAGTTTTAGTAGTTACGGGGTTTCACCATGTTGGCCAGGCTGGTCTCGAACTCCTGACCTCAGGTGATCCACCAGCCTCGGTCTCCCAAAGTGCTGGGATTATAGAGGCGTGAACCACTGCGCCCGGCCTGGCCTCACTAGTCTTAATAGACATTTATGTTACTTCCAATTTGTACTGTTACAGTCTACAATGCATATTTTTGATCATACTATTTTTCATATTTATGTATTTTAGTAGTGTAAATTTCTAGAAATGCAGTTGCCAGGCCAGAGGGTGTGTCTGTATTTCTGGTTATCAAGGGGATCTATCAGCTAACTGGTGTATACCCTTTGGTACTAGGTGCTGAGGGGGATACAAAATTGAAAGAAGTGGTCCCTTCTATCTAGGAGTTTATGGGCTAATTGAGTGTCAAGAACAAAACATAAGATTCCAGTGAGATGCTGAATTATGTATTGTAGAACCCACATAGGAACTGTAGACACCGGGATGAGAGGCAGGCTGGAGTCGGCAGATAAATCATGGGGTGAGTCAGACATCAGCTGGGCCTGCAAAAGAGCACTGGATTTAAATGGAGAGAAGCACAGGGAGGTTTCCAGAAGAGCATCGCAAGTGATGGGCCATCCTAGAGAGAGAACTCAGTGTTGCATCTGGACGTGAAAATGGACACGGTGGTGAGAGAGAGAGAGTGTGGCCAGGTTGGAGAGTGCTCATGAGGGTTTTGGAAGAATGTGGTTGAACAGTGAGGGTAGAATCAGATTGTGGAGGAAGAGACATTTATTGCAGAGAAAGAGATAGTTTTTGAAAGTTTCTGTGTCTTCTGTCTTTGGAACATTCTATACAAAGCAGCTTTTTATAAACAGTAATCCCCCCCATATCCTAGAGTGATATATTCTAAGAACTCCACTGCAGCGAGTCACCCAACTTTTTTTGGCACCAGGAACTGGTTTTATATTAGACAGTTTTTCTATGGACCACTGGAGGGGTGGGTGGTGGTGGTTTCAGGATGACTCAAGCCATTACATTTATTGTCCACTTTATTTCTATTATTGCATTGTAATATATAATGTATGTAGGTATTTATTATTACATGTAATATATACAGTGACAGATCATCAGGCATTAGATTCTCATAAGGAGTGTGCAACCTAGATCCTTTGCATGTGCAGTCCACAATAGGCTTTGGGATCATGTGAGAATCTAATGCCCTGCTGATATGACAGGAGGTGGAGCTCAGCTTCACTCCTTCCTGCCCTACTGTGTGGGTGGGTTCGTAACTGGCCACAGACAGTCTAATCTACAGATGATTTAAAGTATACAGGAGGGTGTGTGTAGGTTATATACAGATAAGGGGAACTACTGTACTTTAAAACTCATTTAGTTGTGTCATTGATGTCATGGTTCTGATTTGCCAACCAACTGTAGGTTAAAGTCCTTATCTTGAAGGCAGTTTTCAAGCATACAATATATTATTTATTAACTGTAGTCACTGTGATGGTACAATCACCTCTTTGCACCTAAGGTAAACTCACATACCCACTATTGCCTTATAGGAACATTTGTTCTTGCTTCAGTGTTTTCCCTTAGCTCATGCTAAATTTGCCACCTAGAATGATCTTTGCCAATCCTTAGAATTATTATTCTTAAATTTTAGCCATTGTGGTGGGTGTATAGAGATGTCTCTATGATTTTTGTCATTTTCCTTATGACAGATTTCTCATAATGTGTTTATTGACTTTTGCTCGTCTTAAGTGTTTATGGCTCTTACTCATTGTTTCAATTAGGTTATCTTTCCTTTTTTATAAAAACGTATTTTAGGAGTTTTTTTTTTTTTTTTAATATATTCTGGTTGCAGTTCTTTACATTGTGATTTTCTCATTATTAAAATAGGGAGAATGACACTTTCCAAGGAGAGTTGTGAAAATTAAACAATATGTGTAAAGCATGTAATGGTGACATGTAAGAATTCAAGCATTTTAAGTATTTTTTGTCTTTTTAAACTTTTCATCTGAAAGGTTTTTATTTTTAAATTAATACAGAATATTTAACTGGTAAGGGTGTACTATGGCTGTTTGAGGCCTTGTAAACTAGGTGCCTTTTCAGCATAGTCTTAGACATCTAAACTTTTTGCTTTGTTCTTCAGTGCCTGTGATCATTTCAGTTTTTATCATGAAGATTTATGTTCAGAAATTAATATGCTTTAAACTTTTTTTAAAAAAGTAAAGTTGATTTACTTGAAACACTTTATTGCCAAAATAAAGGTAAATAGTCAAAACTCAGAACAGTTATTTGCCATGTACTTATTTCACAAACTTTTAAGACACAGCAGTTACAGAGGTTTTAATTTCCAGTTTACTAAGAATACTGATCTTTTTATTTTTATTTTTTCAACTTTTTTGAGGCATGATTGACAAATAAAAGTGCTATAGTTAGCCACGTGTGGTGGCTCTCACCTGTATTCCCAGCACCCATCTGGGAGAGGCCCACCTATCTGACTTCACTGTACTATATTTATCTCTTTAAAGATCCTGTCTGCAAATACAGCCATATTCTGAGGTTCTGGGGGTTAGGACTTCAACTTATGAATTTGGTGGGAGTGGGGGGGTGGGTGGGCACAATTTAGCTCATAACAAATAGGGTATGTCAATTAGCTTTTCAGCTGTAAACTAAAAAAAAATTGACTGGGTCCATATTTCAGTATTACCATGACTTCCAAAAAAGAGGTTTTAACATGTAATTCTAATAGCATAGAGCTAGTATATGAATCAGAGAGTCAATTTTGGTCTTATTTAGTTTCTGTTTTCTACTTACATACAAAGGTTTCTCTGTTCATTCCTGCTTATCCATTATGGGCCACACATCTAATAGATGTTGTAGGAAAATAAAAAGGGTTGACAAATCTTACTGTGAAAGATTTCAGTACATAACAGGCTGTTTAGTACAACACAATGGAAATGTAATTTCGTATGTTATATAATTCAAAATTTTCTAATAGTCTCATTATAAAGGTTATGAATTTTAATTTTGTTTGTCTTATTTAATCTAAAATTATATTATTTTGACATGTGGTCAATAGAAATCACTACTAATGCTATAGTTTCCGTTTTTTGCACAGAATCTTCAAACTCAGGTGTGTAGTTTACGTATCTGGCACATCTCAATTCAGATGATAAATTTTCATTAGACATACTTGATCTGTGTTTAATTTGTGGTAATTTGTCAAATGTTTTGTTTTTATTCGTATTAGCAAGGAGTACGTCGTAGCCTTGTAAGTTTGGAAAGAACTTCATAGGCAAGGAAAAGAATATTTCTTTTCCAAAGAAAGCCTTAGAAATAGATACTAGAGATAGAACTGGACTAAAACCTAGGTTTTCTGAATGTCTATTTCCCCTAAAATTATAATGACTTTTGTTCTTGTTGTTTAAAGCAGTATTCTTGCTTTAAAACCTAGAAAACTTTCAGGGTTATTGTTGATTGGTTTTTTAAGACACTTTCTTTTTTTTTTTTTTTCCAAAGAGTGAGCAGTAGCAAGATTTATTGCAAAGAGCAAAAGAACAAAGCTTCCAAAGTGTGGAAGGGGACCCCAGCGGGTTGCCCAAGACACTTTCATCTGGTATGGTAAAGAAATCTCTGACTAAAGCTGCTGTGTAAGGATTAGCCTTATCTGCTGCTTAAGGATTGTGATATTTTTGTTATCAAGGGCTAAGATAGTGGAAGATACGAATTTGTGAATTCCAGAGTTTCAAGGATCTTATGGTACTCTCCTACCCAATCAGAAATCCTCCTACGTAGCTCTCAAATCTCTGGAATGTTTCCAGGACACTCACTGTGTTGACTGTTCATGCTTTTCTTGGCGTATAACTTATAATTGTTGGAATTCTTCTTTTTTATTTCTTTCAACCTATTTCTAATTTACTGAGACTTGCTGTTAACTACCCTTTACTTATTTTTTACTTATTACTTACTGCATTTGGTATAGTTTAACTTTTCTTCGTATTTTGTTTTATTTTCATATTTGCCTTAATATTTGCTGTCCTTTTTTTTTTTTTTTTTTTTTTTTTTGAGATGGTGTCTTGCTCTGTCGCCCAGGCTGGAGTGCAGTGGCGTGATCTCAGCTCACTGCAACCTCCACCTCCCGGGTTCATGCTATTCTCCTGCCTCAGCCTCGCGAGTAGCTGGGACCACAGGCGCCCGCCACCACGCCTGGCTAAGTTTTTGTATTTTTAGTAGAGACACGGGGTTTCACCGTGTCAGCCAGGATGGTCTCGATTTCCTGACCTCGTGATCCGCCCGCCTCGGCCTCCCAAAGTGTTGGGATTACAGGCCCGAGCCCAGCCTTTGCTGTACTTTTAATTAGATTAGTTATACTTGATGACAACATTTTGATTCATCCTTGTTGTCCGTGAGCAAATTGTTTCTCTTGCCTTAAATAAGATCTCATTAACTTTATAAGCTATCTTTTCCACATCATCTAGACAATCAATTTCCTTTGATTCAGTGGTATTTAGTCTTATGGCACCTGCCCCCCCATCTTTCCATATTAGCATTTTAATAGTTCCATGCTTTTAGAAACTAAAACTTCTAAAGTGAGTTTAAAAATAATTTTAAATCTTTAAAAAATTATCTAAATTTTTATTTTGTAGCAGTATTAGAAAAAATGGTTTTTTTAGATGAAAAAATTGAAAATATCAAGTGAGCCTGTGGGGTAGTTTTAATATTCACAATGATAAAATATTACGGCATAATTACACCAAAAAAATCTGTGGGTATTGACACATTAACACGAGATGTCTTTGAGGTTTTCTAGGAAAACGAGGTGAATTTGTGCATTAACTTCCCATCAAATACATTTTATTTTTTTTGTTGCTGTTGGTAAAATGCATCTGAAAGTTATTCTTTGTAGGTGGCAAACAAATGCTGCAACAAATGGATGTTATTCTGAGTATTTCTGTGTCTTTGTCACACCATTGTCTTTGAAGGTATTCATTTTTCACAGTGGAATAGTTTCTTTTGTTTTTATGAGTTCCAGTGAATTTAAGCTTTTGATTTACTCATAGGTCATGTGTAAGGTTTTGGCTTGCCAGCCCAATTGCTGCCAAAAAACCTTTTTTTCTTTTTTCAAAATAGGAAAACTGTTCTAGAAAAAGTTTCTTCCTAATCCAAATACACATGCTCTGAGTGAATCCTTTGGATGGGTAGGAGACCTTTGAAACCTTTACTGTTCCTGGTGTGTGTATTCCTTAGTAATCCTCTGAGATAGCCATCTGGTTTTTATGCTGGAACATGTTCAGATAGCTCAGTCTTTTTGAGAAAACATGTAGCATTATTGGACAGACAACTGATGACTAAAATATGTATTTTAAAAAAGCTGAAGTTTACCCTTAGCTCTCTATTTTCCACCGTAAATAGCATAGAAGATCTTTACTTGTTTTCTACCTAATTACCCTTCAAATACTGAAAAATCTTAATCAGATCATAGCCATTTGTTGAACAATTATTTGAGTGCCTGCCTGCTGTGTACTGGGAACCATTCTAGGCATGGGAAGACATATCAACAATTTTCTTTTCATGTAATGCTTTCCAGCCTATCCCAATATAGGTATCAGTTACCTACTTTTGGAAAATCAGATGTCCTTGTCAAGAATGCTTACTGGGACCTGTTTTCGTTATTTTATTTTATTTTATTTTGGAGATGGAGTCTCGCTCTGTTGCTCAGGCTGGAGTGCAGTGACAATCTTGGCTCACTGCAACCTCTGTCTCCCAGGTTCTATCGATCCTCCTGCCTCATCCTCCTGAGTAGCTGGGGCTACAGGTGCATGCCACCACGCCTGGCTAATTTTTTTATTTTTAGTAGAGACGGGGTTTCGCCATGTTGGCCAGGGTTCTCTTGAACTCTTGACCTCAGGTGATCTGCCCGCCTTGGCCTCCCAAAGTGCTGGGATTACAGGTGTACCACCATGCTTGGCCTGTTTTGTTATCTTAAATTGCAGCTTCTGTAGGATATTGAGAATCCTGAACAGGAAGGTCTTGATAAATCATCAGGGGAGACAATCAGTGCTTTGAGATTAAAGAAGAAATGAAAAGAGGAAGCGGGAGCAGGAAAATGGAAGGTCGCACAGTTGCATACCTTGTTTAAGTTTATAAATTTCTTTGTATGGTGCTCTAAAACCTTGTTACTTAAATTGAAATTCTTAGGCCAATAGCATTGGCATGCCTCAGTGCCTGTTAGAAAAGCAGAATCTCAGGCCCCACTTCAGACTGACTGAATAAATATCTGCATTTTAACGAGACCCTCGGTCAGCCTTAATGCTCCTTAAAATGTGAAAGGCACTACCCAAGAGGAATAGCAACTTCCTTTTAAAATAATTAAAAACACCCTCCATCACATTTCATGATAACATTTATCATTATCTAGAACTTCTTTTCAACGATTAATATCCAGTGGTTTTCTTTTGAGCTTTATTGTTGTCTGTGAAAATGTATAGTGTGATGAGGCATTCAGGACACATACCCAGTGGCAGAGGATGGCTCACCTGAGTGCGATGAGGTGATACCTTTTTCCACACCAGCAACATCTGAGGTGCATATCCACTTTTTTGGCCCTTGGTCTGCCTTTCAAAATGTCTACACGTAATGCTGATATTTTATCAATGTAATTGGTTAAGATATAACTTCAGGCTTTTCTCATATATAATTTTGTTTTGGTGTTTTATTGAGTTTGGGGGAAGTAAATCTAAAATTTTCCTTTGGAATTATTGGCCAAAAATTACTATATTATGAGATATATACACTCTATAAAGTTTGGGTGTTAAAATCACACAAACAATTTTCTTTTGGAAAATCGTTAACCAGAGAGATGTTTGTAAGTTATGCTTCTTCAGGCATTTCAATTCCTGAGTATCCCTTTACAAATGAGACATCTGTGACTGAATACATTCTTCTAGTTATGGCTTAAAGCCAAAGAAAGTAGTCACACGATCACATTCTTTTCTCTGGATGATATCATCCTATTAAATAAGCCCATGCTTTTGATTTTAAGGAATGATAGTTGAAGAGTTCTGAAGTTTGAAGTCAGTAAAGCTGTTTCTGACCTCACTTTTTTTTTTTTTTTTTTGGTGAATCTCGCATCTGAATTGGTTACTGTAAGTCAGAATATATCAAAGCTTTTTGAAAATGGAATTAAAATGGCCTCTTTGTGAAAAATACTTGTTAATACTTGTAATTATGGTTTCATTTCTATAGAGGAAACATATGTTTTCAGGCTGTTTAACATTTTATTTATTGAGCCAACTTTGTCTGTTATGCATGTAGCATCATACTAAATCCATGCAATTGAAATACATGGTCCAAGTTTCCATAGAGATTATAGCCTAGTAGGGCAAATGGATAAGCAAGTGAGACATTAGAGTACAATGTGGTAAGAGACATGTAAGGGCAACCTTGGATCACACAGGAAGGATTTGGGGGTTTATTGAAGGCTTCTGGAAAGAAGAAATATTTAAGGTGGTAAATTAACTTGTTTTAAATTTTTTATTTTTGTGATTAACACTGTGAGATATTTATGTACCTTAGTCCACTTCTGATTGTATGTTGAGTGTGTATTTCTGGGAGTAGAATTAAATAATCAAAGTTATGAGCCTGTAGGGTTTCCAGTACATGTTCCTAGGTGGCTTTCCAGAAAGGCTGTAGCAGGTTATGTGGCAGTATCAGCATATTAGTGTGTCCCTTTCAATATGTCCTTGCTGGCAGTGGATGCTCTGCAATTCTGGATGGAAATATTCATGGATTATAGCTGATCCTGCTTTTTCACTCCCGCATCGTGATTTTTGTGGTACTCTTGGTAGTACTGCCCATAATCTAAGGTGGGAAAGGTTGTCCAAGACTTGAAAATGATCAGAAAAGATTACTAGGAGTCTTTTCAGTGGAACGCTGGGCTTGTTTAGTGGATCCTGAAGTGACTAGATACAGGGTGTATACCTTTCACTTTTTTTTTGATTAGGCAATTTTGCAATGCTGTAGGGATAGAAGTTAACTAATAGTCATGCAAACGATTCTAGATGGAGTCTTACTCTGTCATCCAGGCTGGAGTGCAGTGGCACAATCTTGGCTCACTGCAACCTCTGCCACCCGGATTTAAGCAATTCTCCTGCCTCAGCCTCCCGAGTAGCTGGGATTACAGGCGCCTGCCACTGCTCTGAGCTAATTTTTGTATTTTTGGTAGAGACGGGATTTCACCATCTTGGCCAGGCTGGTTTTAAACTCCTGACCTCATGATCCACCCGCCTCGGCCTCCCAAAGTGCTGGGATTACAGGCATGAGCCACCGCGCCCGACCAAGATTCTTATCTATAATAATGCAAATGAATTTTGTCCAGTAGGATAGAATTGATTTCCACCCTGAAGAAATATCCCCAGATATTATGTTTCATTGCTCTATGGTAGACATTACTAAACTTTCAGTTTTAGTCTTCAGTGTCTCAGTAATTTTTTCATGGGGCCACCAGCACCAAATACCTAATAGTAACTTCTACTAAGTAATTGGGTCCAAAAAACCTGTTAGTAGTTCATACAGTGTCTCTGTTAGTTCAGTGAGGCACCCTGAATGCTTTGTCACTCAGCTTGGAAACCCTTCTTATAATAGATTCACCATTGATTTCAGTAATACTCCACCTACACACACACACACACACACACACACACACACACACACACACTCAAGTTTGTACTAATAATCTCATTAATTGATGAGCTGAATAATATCTTTGGCATGTGTTCCTTTTATATTTGCATGAAGGTCATGATTCTAAACCTTTTGGAAATTACACTTTAAGCACTAAATTCTCCTTAGTTTGTTGTTAATTTAAAAGGTGAGTAAATAGGTCATCTTAACTTTCTTGGAAGTCAGTTTCCTTATCTGTAAATGACCTGTCATAGACTATGAGAATTAAAAGTGAAAATGCACCTGTAAAAGCATAGCATGCAGCCTTTGAGGACAATGTACAAAGTGGGCAGGTCACACATACCTGGGAGCTTGTGGGATTCCTCAGGTGCTCATCCCACGGAAAGGACTTAGGCTAGGCTCGCCTGTGCTGCAGGGTGCCCTGTAATCACTCCAGGAGAGGAATCTCAACTGCTGCCCTCCCACCCCCACAAAAGTTCCACATATTTGCTGGAACCTCCAGGTGACTGTAATACTGTGTGTCTGGGAACTTCCAGGTTACTAGAGTGGGGAGCTTGTGTTGCTAAGCAGCTAATTTCAGCCTATTCTTGCGTTGTTAACTCTGACCTGCTGAACTAGCTCCTTGAAAAATCCAGAAATTGGGGAAGGGGAGGAGGTGAAATGAACTCCAGGACCATCTGCATTTGTATTTATGGTCCCTCACTTGTTTTTTAAAAAAGTGAAATGTATCCAGTAGTCATAACTTTGCATTTAGACAGCAGTTATATAGTTTTGTCATTTTAATTTCCATATGCTTGATCTCCATGTGCTAAGTATTACCTTCTAACTACAGAAATGACTTTATTTCGCCAAACCAGTGAGTGTTGGAGTCAACTCTAAAAATATTGTCCTCTCCTTCAAATTTTAAACTTCTAAAATTATAACTAAAATTTGGAAATAGAATAGAATATATTTAGGTTTGATGAGATATCCAAGGAATGGAAAGTAAAAGAAGCTGGCCTAAACTGAAGTACAAGGCTAGGAATGTTTATATAGGAACATCAGGCATATATTAGGACTGAGAAAAATAAGATGGTAATGGGAATTTACAAGTAGGTGTCCAATACCCAAAGCTCTAAAGTAGCTTACAAAACCAGAGTAGTTAGGGTGTGGGAAGCCTGGTGGAATGTTTATACTGTTTTGTTCAAAACTGTAAAATAGTTTCCTTGTTTATTTTTTGCTGTCTGTCTTGATCCAGGTTACTATTATCATAGGAACAATTGGTTTCTGAACGTTCTCTCTTGCCTATTATCAGTTCAACTGATTTAGTGTTATCTGTTTCAGTGGATCTGTTAGAATCTGCCTGTGACAATTCTTGTTGATTAAAAAAAAAAATGCAAGTGAAGGGAACCCATGTGCAGACCAGCTCGTACTAATGACATTCATAGAAACTAGTGATTCCGTTGAAGTGTGCATTGGACTGTGACACTAGATAACTATGAAAGGATTAGGCATATGGTGGTATTGTATACTTGAAGCCTATCATAAATTTAACCTTTCTATTACTGTTAGGAGATGAGTTATTGTTTCCACTTGCCAGGTAAGAACAATACTTGAGATGAGATCTGACGTTACGCTTTTGCCCTTGCACTGCTTTTTGAAGTGTAAATGGCTTATGTTTAGTCAATCTTCTTGTTGTGAAATTGCATCATTTTTATGCCATCCAAGAGTTAGAGCTGCTGATGCAGCTATTAGCAGACACAGAAGCACTACTCAGTTGAGACAATGTGTTAGAGGTGGGTGAGTTCTGTGAGGAATTTTCTGCTCACTTGTACCACACAATTTGTGTCATGTTTGCACTGCATAAACTGTATCATTCATTTTTATATATTTATATATGTTTGCATAATACAGGTGATTACCAGTATTTACTGAGAGCTTACTGTATGCAAGGAACTATTCCAAGTTTTCTATGTATTACCTTGTTTATTCTCACAAACATTCTTAAGGGGAATATACTGTTAGCCCCATTTTAGAAATGAGAATGCTGAGATAGGTACAGAGAGGTTGACTATCTTGCCCAAGGTCACAGGTCCAGGAAGCAGCAGAGTTGAGGTTTAGGCCCAGGTAGTCTGGCTGCAGAGCCTGTTGGGTAACCACTACCACAATACTGATTTTGTATGTGTATATGTGGTATGGCTGATGGAGTTTTATTTCTCTTTGAAGACTTTTTTCCCCAATCTCTACATCTCTTGTCTCTGAGTTTATTCTCAGAGACAAGTTTAATAAACTTTCAGTTTATTCTCAACCTGGTGAGTGAGTCTATCACTATCCTTAGTGGGAAACAGTACATCAGTTAAGGAATGCATTTGGGTGTAAGTAATAGGGAAACTCATCTCACAGTAGCTTCAACAATTAGGAATTGATTTTTCTTAAACGATGAATCTGGAGGTAGGTGGTGGAGGGCTGGCGTAGCTGCTGTACACTGTTGATAGGGATGCAGGCCTGTTCTTTGCTCTTCTGTCTTTCTGTGTTGGCCGTTAGCCTCATGCTTGTGATCTCATTAGAGGCAAGGTAGTTATTAGAACTTCAGGCATCAAGGATGCATTGTAAGCAGAAAAAAAGTATGGAGGGATTTTAAAAAGGGTCACGCCAACCTGGTTCATCCCCCTATATCAGAAAACTAAAAGCCTTCTCCTAAGATCCACAATCCACATAATTCACTTTTGTTTTATTTCATATTGGCCAGAACTAGGTTATGTGGCCATTCCTAAAAAGCAATCACGTGGAATTCTGTTCTTATGACTGATTTTGGCCAGAAACAGTTCATCTTCTGGGACTGGGATATGGGCATACTAGCAACTAAATAAACTGAAGTGGTACTGACAGAGAAGTTGGATGGATAGATATGGTGGAGACAGTGGACAGAATTGGCCACAGGATGACTTCCAAGAACTCTAGCCAAATACTCAAGGTTTGGAATCATTGTAATCTTGCTTGTAGTTGGGATCTGAGTGTTTGAGGTGAAAGTTTGCAGGATACATCTGCCGTCTTTGATCTCAGATTCAGTGGTTCAATTCCTGCTTTTTCTTGGAAGCCTTTTTGTAATACTCTCAGGAATGTGGTTTCTCTGGATTTGGGAGTTTACCTTGATCTTTGTTTTCTGCCTATTCCAGAGCTCCTCAAATATGACATATTCTTACTGCTGAATTCCAGCTAGTGATGAGGCCTTGTTACTTGTTGACAGGTTTCTCTGATACTGTCCTTTGTCCCACAGTATAATCTGCTTTGATTTTTTTTGATTCTCTTACCCGAGATGCTTATTTTATATTGAACCATTCCTAATGTCGCAGTTTTGTTCACTGTGTTCATATCATTGGTCAGGCACTATTTTAAGATAACTGGGTGGTCTGATTATATGCTAAAGCATACAAAAATGACAGTAGCATGCCACCAAATTATTTGCTTTTATCTGAAATTCAAATTTTAATGGGCAGTCAGGCATTTACATTAAACATTACTTGGTAATCTTCTATGGGTTAACTTAACCAAAGCTGTGATATATGTCATAAATACCTAAGATGTAGTTGTAGTGGTTTGGGACATAATTTTTTTTATTCTCATATTGTGTTTTCTTTTGATATTCCTATGTGTGCTCTTTATGTCTAACAGAAAGGATTGCCTATTTTTAAGCTTTTGGAGAGGAAGAGAGTTCAGAGAAAAGTAAATTGAGGATCACAAGGCAGTATCACTTATTGAGTGGTACTCTAGTTGATCTGTTTGCTTATGTATGCTCTTGGAGGGGAGTGACATGAATTCTTATTCTTCTTTATGCCTCCTATGCTAAGCATCCTACCACATATATTTAGACAATGAGTTGCCTTTAAGTTGAGTTGCCAGGCTGCTCAGCTCCAAATCAAATTTTAATGGGCAGTCAGGCATTTACATTAAACATCACTTGGTAATCTTCTATGGGTTAACTTACCAAAGCTGTGATATATGTCATAAATACCTAAGACGTACCTACCTTGCATGTCCCATGATTTTTTCCCCTATCCTCGCATTGGTGTCAAAACCCTAACCAATAAGGCCCGCAGCCTTTGGCTAGACTTCCTTCACTCACCCTCTTGCTACTGAGCCTCAGCAGCATCTGCTCATGAGCATGTTATTGTGGCTTCAAATTTCCTCTTGGCAAGCCCTGCCTCCAACTACACACAAACTTGGGGATTTCCCTCTCTTGTGAGGGCAGCTATGTTTTTAGAGAGCAGTATTTATTTATTCTATTCCATCCAGCATTTAGAGGGGTTCATGCTAAAAGAGTTATGTATATGGGCCGGGCATGGTGGCTCATGCCTATAGTTCCAGCACTTTGGGAGGCTAAGGGGGGTGGATCATCTGAAGTCAGGAGTTGAGACCAGCCTGGCCAACATGGTGAAACCCCGTCTCTACTGAAAATACAAAAATTAGCTGGGTGTGGTGGTGGGCGCCTGTAATCCCAGCTACTCGGGAGGCTAAGGCAGGAGAATCACTTGAACTTGGGGGGCGGAGGTTGCAGTGAGCCGAGATCGCACCACTGCACTCCAGCGTGGGCAACAGAGCGAGACTCCATCTCAAAAAAAAGAAAAAAAAAAGTTCTGTATCAGCTTAGTCTGCTGTGTTTCCAAAACTGTCTTTCTTATAAAGCAAAGAATCTTATATACACTGAAACCTTTAATAGACAGCTGACTGTTGTATGGACTGTGTATATCACCCAATATGATTTATTTTTTCCTCATGATTCTGCATTCTGGGCTGGATCAGGTGGGTCTTTCTTCTGCTCCAGTTGCCACCTTTTGAGGTTGGAACGTTTAAGATGGCTTCTTTTACTCACATGTTAGGTGTCTTTTCTGGTAGGCCTGGAAAAGGCCTGGCTGGGCCTGTCTTTCCACATGATTTCTCCAGTGTGGTTCCTGGACCTCTTTACTAAGGGCTCCGAGAAGGTGCGTACCAGGAAAGTAATTTCTGATGTAGAAAGAAGCTTGCCTTATGCATGCTAATGTTACACTGCCAAAGCCATCACATGACCCAGCTGGGAGCTAGAGGTACAAGCACTTGGATATTAGGGGTGCGATTTGGGTACCATCAGTATAACAGAGTGGTTTACCACCTTATACACATTGTATATGATTTCTTGCAGTCAGTTTTGTGGAAGGGAGTGCATTTTATTCCATTTTGTTTTGTCTACAGTGAATTTTGTTGTTATAACTATCTTCCTCCTTTTAAAGTTGGCAACCATAATATTATACTTCATATTTTGAGATAATGTTAGATTTACCAAAAAGTTGCAAAAATAGTAGAATTCCCTTATGCCTTTCACCTGGCTTCTACTAATGTTAACATACTGCATAACCACAAATTAAAAATTAACATTGGTATAATGCTGTTTACTAAACTACAGGCTTTATTCAGTGTCCACCAGTTTTTTCACTAATACCCATTTTCTGGTGTAGGATCGCATCCAGGATCCCATATTGCATTTACTTGCCACGTCTCCTTAATCTTTCCAGGTCTTTCATGGCTTGGATACTTTTGAAGAGTAGTGGCCAGTTATTTTGTAGAATGTCCCTAAATATGGGGTTGTCTGATGTTTCCTCATGATTAGATTTAAGTAATACATTTTTGGCAAGAGGCCCACAGAAACGATGTACCCTTCCAGTGCATGATGTCAAGGGTATGTTATGTTGATGTGTCTTACTGGTGCAGGTAACCTTGTTCATGCTTGAATAAGCTGTTCTTACCCAGCTTTTTCTACTGTAAAGCTTCTTTCTTTTTGCAGTTAAATATCTTCAGGTAGATACTTTGGAATTATGCACATATCCTGTTTCTTCTCAAACTTTTGCTCACTATTTTTATATCCCATTGTTCGATGGGTTTTTATCTGCAACAATTATTACTGTGCTGTTCTAATGGTGATTTTCTATTTCCCTCTTTCCTTTTACATTTATTTTTATTTTATTTTATTTTCTAGACGGAGTCTTGCTCAGTTGTCCAGGCTGGAGCACGGTGGCCTGGTCTTGGCTCACTGCAACCTCTGCCTCCCAGGTTCAAGCAATTCTCCTGTCTCAGCCTCCTGAGTAGCTGGGATTACAGGTGTGCCCCACCATGCCCAGCTAACTTTTGTATTTTTAGTAGGGATGGGGTTTCACCATGTTGGCCAGGCTGGTCTCGAACTCCTGACCTTGTGATCCACCTGCCTTGGCCTCCCAACATGCTGGGATTACAGGCGTTAGCCGCCGCGCCTGGCTCCCTTTTACATGTATTAGGATTTTTTTGTAAGGAAAAGCTGCTCCATTTATTTTAAATTGATTATAATTTATATCAATATGAATACATAGGTATTTTATGTATTATAATTCAATGCTATTTATTTTGTTGCTCATTGTTCTAGCTTTGGCCCTTGGAAGGTCAGTTTGGTTTCTGGGACCTTTTTATATATTCCCATTCTTTCTGAGCATTCTTAATACCTGGCACCACAGGATGCTCTAGGCTCATCTTGTTTGTTCCCTGCCCCAGCCCCAGAATCAACCACTTCAAGGTGCCTTGGCCCCTTATTGGAGAATGGAATCTAGAAGCCAAGGTCTCGGGGCTACCTGTGCTCATTGCTACGGTGGTGTCAATTGCTTCAAGGTCCTTTCAGTGACTAGAGTCAGGATAATATGTATACTAACTCATGCATACATACACATCTATATTTTGGTATGTATATTTATGTATTAGTGTTCATATATAATAAAAAACATTAGTTCATACTGATATGTTGGATTACAGTCCAACAGCACAGAGTTCATTCTAGCCTTATCAATTTCCTTATTTGTAATTTCTCTGACAGTGAAAAACTTGGTTCTCATTACCTGTAATACACTTATTTGCTCATACATACTATACATATAAAGTGGCTTTGCTTAATATGTATACATATGAAGTGAAGTGGATAGTATACATGTAAAGGATTGCTAGCCCATATCCCTGTGAGAAACAGACTTATTAACTAGAGTAAGAATTTTGTGTACAGTCTTTTTGTCTTTAGCCTTACAGTATCTAGTCAAAATACTGTTTTCCAAAGTTACTTTCAATTGTTTTACAAACCAAATAGTTGTTAGAATTGTCAACCATAGGAATAACTGAAGGAAGATAGGAAAAGAGGAAAAATAGGTAGCAAATGAAGGCATTAAGCCTATTTTCTGAGGAAAATGTGTGTGTGTTTTTCTTTATTCCTGGACCTTTTGACTTCTATGTTTGTTGCACAGAATTATCTTAGATGCTTTTGGTTAGAGTCTCAGTTTGCTGGAGAGTTGAGGTGGTACAGTGAGACAGTGTTTACATTTCTTTAATTGTGTATGTTGCCCGTGCATTTTTATTTTTATTTATATTTATTTATTTATTTATTTTTGAGATGGAGTCTCTCTCTGTCGCCCAGGCTGGAGTACAGTGGTGCAGTCTTGGCTCACTGCAAGCTCTGCCTCCTGGTTTCACGCCATTCTCCTGCCTCAACCTCCCAAGTAGCTGGGACTACAGACGCTCGCCACCACGTCCGGCTAATTTTTTGTATTTTTAGTAGAGACGGAGTTTCACTATGTTAGCCAGGACGGTCTCGATCTCCTGACCTTGTGACTCGTGATCCACCCACCTTGGCCTCCCAAAGTGCTGGGATTACAGGCGTCAGCCACCGTGCCCGGCCATCCCATGCAGTTTTAAACACCTAAAATGTGTAAAAATTAAAAACAGTTCCTTTTGATATACATGTAAAAAGTTAAGTAATAATATATATGAGAATGATACGTGTATTTTCAGCCATATCCCTTTCACCAGTTGTTTTAAAATAATTAGGTAACCTGCCTGTTTTTACTTTAAAGGTTTTTTAGTAGAATGGTCTAGTATTCTTATAGAATGTTAACAGTATAATCCATTAAATCTTTCTTATAGTGGCTGAATTACTGTTCTATTGTTTTCTAGATAAGGCTGAGTTTGTAAAAGGTTGGGGAAGATTTTCTACTGATGATGTATGGATAACCTTATTAAAAAACAGAAATGAAGGCTAGCATGTAGAAAACCTTGGAGCCCAAGAGATTTTGTCTTTTGTAGAGCTTCTAATTTAGATGGTACATGGTAGTGACTGAATGCCAAATGAATGAAGGTTATGATAGAATGGGAGGAAATTGGAACTTGGAGAAGGTAACACTATGACAGGATTTTAGACTTAAAAAAAAAGATATTTGACCTGGAAAGCCATTGTAGGAAGAGAGGTAGTGATTGCGTATTTAAAGGAGTTTAAAAACAATAGCAGTTATATTTGCTGGAATATTTTTTATGTGAGCCATAACTCATAGAAGAATGGCTGTCTACACAGTGTTATTCTAGTCAACTGCATTAGATAGCATCTGGGTGAATGTTATATAAATAGCCTGCTTACTGAAAAATTTCAGTGCATATTACAGTTTATAATATGTTAAATAAATAATCTATTTAGGAAAAAATGCTGTCAAGGTATAATGAAAATGTAAATATATTCATTACTTTGTGTTAGTGCTATGGCTACTAAAAACATCAGGTTTTAATGTATGTCTCAGGAGGATTTAACAAGTAACAAAAGTCAGTGGGTCTAGGAAGTATTAATTGCTGGTTTGAGTTCATCAAAGTTAGGTCTAATTAAGGGTTCACTTAAAGAGGACAAAATGGGATCTCAGAAAAGTTATAAAAAAGTTTTTTCATTAGTTTAGCGATATAACTTGAAATTGGACCTGGAATGGCTACCTGCACCTTATAAGTTACAGTAAGCAGTATTAATACAAAAATAAAAAAGATTGATTACAGATTATTCCTGGCCTTCTCCCCTTTCCCTTTTCCCTCTTCTCAGCCTTTTAGATTTTTTTTTTACTTTTCCTGTCTTTGAAGCTTCCTTTCAATGTGCCCTGGATCTTAAGGATTTGTGTATTGAGATATAAATACAGGGAACTAAAGAAGTCCTCAAAACAGGTTATTAAAATGGAATGAAGATATATATGATATATATAAAAAGTTCTCAAAGTCACTTGTAATATAAATTGTCCCTTTGTCCAAACCACCACCTGCCCTATTTTAGCCCTACCTCATCACAGAATCTTTGACGAATAGTCGGTTTTAAAATACAGGATTCTGTCAATAAATTACTTATAGGAATATGTTCACTCTGTTTTTGGCAAAACTAGAAGGTGTTTGAAAACACGGAAATGAATCCAAAACCAATTACCGTTATGTCATCAATATAGGATTCGTGGTAATATGTGCTAAATGCTTTATTCTGCCGTGTAATAGCATACGAGAAAGGGCTGTGGGTCATGCGCATTTTTTAAGTTGTTGTATGCAGGTCCTGTGAATTTTAAGTCAGTTTTTGGCCTTTGTGCATAGTTGAAGATAAGATACTTGCTTGGTTTAATTTGTTTTTTAAAGTTAATGGTGAATGGTTGAGCCTGGAAAGTGTCAGGTTTACCTTAGTAAAAGAAATTTATTAGCTATGCTGATTAGCTCTAATTAAGTTTAAATGTGCGCAGACAGTTTTATCCAAAGTCTCTGTTGTGTTTGTAGTTTTAAACTCAGAATATATTTTCTCATGGAAATGAAATTACAATGTTGGTTAAGGTCTTAGACTGCCTTATAAAACTCACTCAATGCATAATGTAGCAGGATTTTAGAACTTTTGGCAATCAGATATGCTTCCTGGCTTCTGAATTTTTGGCAGGAAGTGTGAGATTGAGACTCCGGAAGTGGCAGTGGTAACAGGTTGTTAAGGCAGTGGAGGAAGTGTCCCCAGGTTCCAAGCATGACAGAAGCTGTGGCCCTTTAAATATGTGGGTTCTAAACCTGGTTGGTTGCCTGTATTATATATTCCAGCCCATTTTTCTTTGAGCCTCACTTCATGTATTAAAGCTCTACTTTCCCAGTAAATCACAGGCTGCATTATAATATTTTAGTTTTTCTTTATTCCTTCACGTAGTCATTGTGCATGAGCAATTCTAAGTTTCAATTGTGAAAGCTAATTATAATGTGAAACTGAAATCTCTGTGTTCTTGAAGAAGCTTGGAATATATTGACAGTTTTTTCTTTGAGAATTACTTTAATTTCTTTTATCTTTGTTCAGTATCTTAAGCTTTTAAAATAAGGACTAATTTTCAGAAGAGCTGTTCTTCTTTCCCGTAATGTCAGAATCTCACATAGTGATAACAGGCTAAATTTTCACTGAGGGTTGAAAAGCAATTCTTCTCCTTTTTTAATGGCAACACTGTCAAACTCGTGGTAGAATGATACAAATAATTCTTGTGGGCTGTAACCATTACTATCCTACACATGTAATTTCAGGTGTATTCAGTCTTTATGCGAGCTTGAATTCTAGGCAGCTGATCTGATAGTTTGCACATGCCAAGATTTTAAAGTTTATTATATTTTTATTGAAAGTTCTCATGTATCCAGTTGGTTTAAAAAATGATGTTTTAAAATGTGAATTCCTGCAGAGCTGAATTCTATGCTGTTGAATGCCCATACTCTACATAGAAATGGTAACGTTTCCAAGGGATGAAAAATAGGCTGAATTACTCTAAATTAAAGGTTTCCTGGTTTTTTATCTCTGGCATGTTTCTTCCATCCAACAAAATGGTGGTAGAGAGTTTCTTCTGAAGCTATAAACTTTAAATTTCCTTTACCTTTTTTTTCCCCAAACTTGCCTCTATGTAAGGCTATTTCGATAATGCTGTGGTCAGCTCTTGAGAGTACAAGATTTCTTTGCTGTAAAGAGAAACAATACTGGGATGTGGATGCTATATAAAGGAAGCTTTGGCTTAGTTCAACAGTGATCTCATAGCTACAGTTTTTGTGTGGCTTATTCCGACTATAATTTTTGGCTGTGCTCTGGATGTCATAACATTAATTTCAGGTTGAAATGGCTGTCGAAATTCAGATTTGGCATTTCTTTTCTCTAGATTTTGCCCAGCACATCTTTGTCCTTGTAGGAAGGATACTCCTCTATTGTTATTCTGCCTTTTTATAATCTTCCTATTTTTGAGGTGTTGGAACATTAGTCTTCAAGGCCTTCTTGGGAGAGATTGAACTGGATGGGTGGTTGGATTAACTTATATTGATTTTCAGGCAAGAAGCCTGTGACGCTAGCTTGCCTTACAGAGTGGGACAAAGGGGAGGACCAGCAGTGTGCCCAGTCTAGTGAAGCATACTTTTTTTTTTTTCTGGTCACAGGAAGTAGTTAGGGATTTTGGACATCTTGGCTGTAGGTGATGAAATCCGATTTGTTTCCTCTGATAAAAGGGCAGTGAAGGCAAGAAGTATGATAAAGTGTATCATGGAGAGTGGTTGTTAACTAAAGAATTCAGGCATGGTGGTCTGAGTTGATCATAGGTCACTCAGGACTCCTGCTTTGACTCAGTAGAAAGTAGCCAACGTGTTGAAGAAATATTTTTTTTAGTGAAAAAGTAGTGGGTATTTTATTTAATATAATTACAGATATAGCAGAATATCTTGGCATTTGTCACTGAATCTTTTTAATAAGCCTCTTGCAGAACAGTTAAGAGAATGTGAAAAGCAACAAACTGTTGAAATATAATACTAATAAAAGCCATCACAATCGCTGCAATTGTATGTAGAGATGTATTATTAAAGTAAAAGACTTAAAAGAAGTTTCATGTAAGGCTGGAGATTTTTCAGTGATTTCAGGATTTGAAATGAAGTCTTATTTTTAAAATGTGAAATTTCATGATAATATACAGGGGAAGAAAAGTAGCTTTCCTCTGCTACTACGTGCTACATATAGAGGAATAAATGAAATTTGCTATAAAAATATTTTTATTTGGAACCTCCAGTGAGTATTTATATATATTTGTGTAGAATCCATTTTACATTTGTTACACATTTAACTAAGGAACACAGAAATGAAACTTAAATTTCAGGAGGATAAATTATTTTAATAGAATGCCATAACCACAAGGGTAAATACTAGCTTACCATTTTTTATAGTCAGAATTTTCATTACTACACAGTATCACTTAAAGAAAGAGCCTTGCATAAATTTAATTTGTTGTTTATTAACAAATCCAGAAGCATGAACTCGTTCAACTTATTGAGGAAAGAGAATCTGAGTAGTTACCTGTTTCTCAAATTTGATGATGTTTATTTAGGAATATCATGCTGATATTCAGTATATACAAATGTGTATGTTTTTGGAATTACTTTAGAACTATTTCCTTTATAGTAAGTTAAAATGGAATAATCTCATGCTTGAAAAATGAACTTTGAAATTAAAGTCTTTTTTCTTTAAATTTTTATTAGAATTGAAATTTTGTATTGCAATTTGCATAACGCTGATTAGGAGGGGTTGGAGATGAAAATGTAAATTGGATTTTCAATCAAAGACTGGTACGACTTGATTTTTTTTCTCCCTGAGCTTACAAGTTTGACCTATGAAAACGTGGGAAGTAAAGAATATATTAGTTTAAGAAAACTTGCAGAGGAGAAAATAGCGTATTTTAAAACTCCATATTGTAATATGATTTTTGTATAGTATAATTTTGAAATAAATGTGAAGCTAATGTAGCTGTTTGTATTTTTGAAGAGGGGGCATATTTTTGGATATGTCCAAAACTAACTGTAAGCAAGTAATTTGATATCTTTCTTGAAAGATAAAGGTGATGATGTTAACTGTGTATAGTTTCAGGTAGCTTTATTACTGGTAGCAGGAAATTAGCTGTTTGTGAAAATAGCGTGAAATCGAATTCAGAACAGCTGTCTAATTTATCAGCCAGAACAAACTGCTCATGTTTTAAAGTATATCAGTTACTCTAGGTACCCATTATTGACCTGTTCAATCTACTAATAATGTTTGCTCAAATCTAGAGAAAGTTTGCAAATCTTTTTAAAAAAACAAATAAACCTCTTACTTCTTTTGAGTGTTCTTTCATTTATTTTGGATTTGTATCCACTTACTATTTTAAAACAAAATTCTCAAAAGACTTTTTGAGGCATTTTGCTATAACAGGGCAGAGAAATGATGGGGTAGCCTGAGGAGGAATTGTGTGTGTGTGTGTGTGTGTGTGTGTGTGTGTGTGTGTTTTAAAGCATGGAGAATTAACAGCATTATATGTGCTCCAGCAGAAAGGGAATTAATTTATAATGTAGGAGAAAAGAGGGAAGAACTACGGAAATTATTGTCAGTTCCTAGTGCAAGTGGATGGGGTCCAAGGCACAAAAGGATGAGTTGGGCGTTAGGAGCATACATTATTTATTTGTGTAGGAAGGGGCACAGGGTGTATGAGCAGAGAGATGATGGTACTTGGATATGTGTGTTTGTATGAATTTATGGAAGTTTTCTGATTGGTTCCGTTTTATCACTGAGGAGGAGTATAAGGTTATAAGGTGGGTGAGAATGGGGAAAAGAGGTTTGAGGTGAGAGAAGATGTGTAATAAATAGTCTAGAAGAGAGTAGCAGACTATAGACCCTGTGTGCACCCATGTTGCAGCTGATTCACATTTGGCCATCTCTCTGTCCCTGAGTTGCACATCAGCAACTTTTTGACATTGTTTTCATTTGGTTTGAGGTTGGTTATTTTTATCCATCTCCATGAAATTTAATCTCTGTGTGTAATTCTTTTTAAAAAATTTCCAACTTTTAAGTTCATCTGCATATAATTCTGATGTATTTATAATGTCTCTTTGTTCCATAACTTTGCTGTTGTCAAAATTGGAAAAAAGATGTTTCAGTCAGTATCCTCCCAAGTATTTGGTCCAAGTAATCTGGGTAAGTTAGGCACAGATCTGACTTGCTGTGATATTAACTGGCACTTTTCTTCTGATTCTGGGTGGACTCGTACTCTCCAGTAAAGGCCTCTTTTTAGTTGTGCAGAAGCGGTTTAAGTGACACAGAGACTTCTTGGGGGCTTCTTCATAGATCTGTGATCAAACTGGCTAGCCATCAAAAACTGGGTGAATAAAGCAGAATGGAAAGAAATACAAGTCCTCGGTATCATAATTAAAACACTGCATGAGCATTCTCTTGCTTTTAGGAGGAAGCAATAAAAGGCTTACAATTTCTATATATTTACCTTAAATTGAATGCCCCTTCTAAACTGAGGATTTATTAGCTTTTTTTTATAATTGGAAGTATTTATATTCTGAGGAAATGTGACATTTTGTGGTCATTTACTGTAAAAATTTATTTGCTATGCCAACACCCTAGAAAAATTATGAAGTACTAGAGAATTAAAACTGCAGTATGCAAAAAGTGCTGTTTTACTGATGAAAAGAGAGATCTTCTGTTTTAAATGAGACATTTTTGTAAAATAGTTCATTGTAATTGAGTTTCAGTGAACCATGGCGCTAATAGAAATCTTTTATGATATGTTGCTTATTGTATATAAAAAAATGAAATCTTTTATGAAAGTGGTGGCTTCATGGAATATTGTGGCTTGGATCTTACTTGTTTTAGTTAAGAAGCATTTGTTGATCACCTGCTGAGTGCAAAGCCCTATAGACAATGCTGTAGGAGAGATAGAAAGGAAATAGAAGACCAGATTTCTGCCACTGAGGTTTGAGGTAGAGATGATACCAAAATTTGATCTTTACCAGAACCAAATGTAGTCTGTTACCCCTATTTTTAAATCCATGGAGTTAGAGTACTCAAATTTAGCTTCTTACTCTACGGTGATTATAAAATTATGCTATGTTAGTGGTTAGGTAGGGTTGGAGAAGAGATGTCACATCTGCATGTAACAGGTTATAAAATCACTATGCCTAACCAGTTTTAATTAATGGATTACACAGTAATTACCACATGAATACATTTTAAATTTACAGAATACCTAATCAGTTTAGGAGTTTTATTTTCTTGGGGGGAGATGTGGTCAACTAAGAAAACTTTATTCTCAAACTAGTATTTTTATATGTGCTTTGTGGGTTTTGTAGTTTCTTAGACTTGTTCTTAAAATAATTAGTTATCCTTTTTATTGATGCCTTTTAAAGACTATAATTCCATTCTTGACAAAAATATAAAATTCAAGTGTTGAATTTTGTGTTTTTTACTTATTTGCAAGTGAATTTTATTATTGCCGTAAGAAAATTGTTGAGTACTTGAATCAAGATAATGTATACTTACAGAGTGAATATAATCTGTAAAATTTGTTTTAAAATGGTATTTTGAATATTGTATCATTTAGGATGACAAAGTGTTAAAATAAGGATGGTTTTAGTAGCATTTTAATATTTCATGAAAATGAGTAACAAAATGAGTAAAATAGGACATTAATTAACTATTATCTGATTTAATAATTACTAGGAAAATTGAGTGAAGGTTAATTGGATTAGGATAGCAATTGATATAATTTGGCTGTGTCTCCACCCAAATCTCATCTAGAATTATAGCTCCCATAATTCCCACGTGTCATGGGAGGGACACAGTGGGAGGTAATTGAATCATGGTGGCAGTTCCCCCATACTGTTCTTGTGGTAGTGAATAAATCTCACAAGATCTGATGGTTTTATAAAGGGGAGTTCTCCTGCACAAGCCCTCTTGCCTGCCACCATGTGAGACGTGACTTTGTTCCTCCTTGCCTTCCACCATGATAGTGAGGCCTCCCCAGCCATGTGGAACTGTGAGTTCATTAAACCATTTTTCTTTGTAAATTACCCAGTCTTGTATATGTCTTTATCAGCAGCATGAAAACAGACTCATACAGCATTGTTTTAATATTTAACTGCTTATTGGATACACCTGTGCTAACTAGAAAACAGCCCTTAGAAAGACACTATCAAATTTTAGAGAAAGATTTATTTCAATGTGAGGTTTTAAATATTTTGTGTGTGACAAATATATCTTCTTTTAAATTAACTTGTTTGTTTAAATGAGAATCAAATACTCTCTCTGTTTATATGCTTTTGAGGATAAGGGATATACTGGTATCTAAGTTTTACCTTATACACTTTGAGCCCTGGTGTGGAGGCCTGTGATAAATGTTTTAGCAAACAGACCCCCACAGCCATTGCCTGGAGGTTTACATTATTTGAAAATTCTGGCAATACTTACCATTCAGTCAATCAGTCAACAGTATTTGAATATTTACTGTTGGTCCCAAACCCTCTTAGGCATTGTAAGTGTTACAGAAATGTCACCACTATTTGGCACGTATTTCTATAATACCCTGTTTTTGAAGGATGGTGCCAAGTTGGCAATGTATATCCTGAAATAAGTAACTATAACAAGCTAGTTGTGATGAGGTTTGTTATTTTGTGTAACTGTAGTAGTTATCTTTTGGTTAGTGTTTTCCTATTACATATTTGTTTCTAATTTTATGCTTTTAGATTTATTGGGTCCTTATATTTTAGCTATCTGTCTTGTAAACAACATATAGCTGGATTTTAATTTTACATTCAGTCTGATAATCTGTCTTTAAACTGGAGATTTTGCTTTGTTTTTTGACCGTGATTACTGGTAAATTTATATTCATTTCTCTGATTTTATTTAACATAAAAGTTTGTATCTGTTAGTCTCTTCTGGCTGCCGTAACCAAACTCCATAAACTGGGTAGCTTGTAAATGACAAAACTTTCTTTCTCACAGTTCTGGAGTCTGGGAAGTCCAAGATCAAGGTGTTGGCAAATTTGATGTTTGGTGAAGACCTACTTTCTGCTTCACAGATGGTGCTTTCCAGCTGTGTTTTCAAAGGATGGAAAGTGCGAACAAACTCCCTTGGGCCTATTTTATAAGTGAACTAATTCCATTTTTGAGGGCTCTGCCCTTATGACTTAATCACCTCTGCAAAGGCCCCACCTGCTAATACTATCATGCTGATGATTAGGTTTCAACATAGTAATTTTAGGGAAGATTCATTCAGACCATAGCAGTGTTGATGTGTTTTTTATCTTTTTATTTTAAAATAAGTACAGATTTACAGGAAGTTGCAGAGAAAATATACAGAGAGGTCTCTTGTATGCCCCACCCAGTTTACCATGATGGCAACATCTTGTGTAAATACAGTACAATTGCAAAAGTAGGAAATTGACATTGGTACTATTCACATAGCTTATTCAGATTTCCCGTTTTACATGCATACATTTGGGGTGCGTGCGCGTTTGTGTGTGTGTTTAATTCTATGCAGTTTTATCTTGTGTATATTTGTGTAAGTACCTCATCAAGATACATCCACCAGACTCCCTTATGTTACCCCTTTATAGCTTCACATACTCTTCTCTTTTCCCCCTCCATCCCTAATCCCTGACATCCTCTTATCCGTTCTCTATCTTTATAATTTTATTTTAAGAATTTTATATAAATGGAACCAACTGTTTGTAACCTTTTGAGATTATCTTTATTCATTCAGCATAATTCTCTTGGTATCCATTCAAGTTGTTCAGCCTATCAATAGTTCATTCCTTTTATTCTTGAGCAGTGTTCCATGGTAGAAATGCACTATTATTTGTTTAACCATTGGCCCTTTAATGGATGGATTTGGGTCATTTCCAGTTTTTGGGTGTCACGAGTAAAGCTGCTGTCAACATTCACATACCGGTTTCTCTGAGATAAATGCCCAGGAGTGCAATTGCTGGGTTATATGGTAGATGCATGTTTAGTTTTTTTAAGAAACTGCCATACTGATTTCCAGAGTGGCTATTCTCACCCTCACTCACTGATGTATGAGTGATGCAGTTTTTCTTTACCCTCTGAATCACTTGATATCATCACTGGTTTTTTTTTTTTTTTTTTTTTGAGACAGTTTTGCTTTTGTTGCCCAGGCTGGAGTGCAGTGGTGCGATCTCGGCTCACCACAACCTCTGCCTCCCGGGTTCAAGCAATTTTCCTGCCTTAGGCTCCTGAGTAGCTGGGATTATAGGCATGCACCACCACGCCCGGCGAATTTTGTATTTTTAGTAGAGACAGGGTTTCTCCATGTTGGTCAGGCTGGTCTTGAACTTCTGATCTCAGGTGATCCACCCGCCTCGGACTCCCAAAGTGCTGGGATTACAGGTGTGAGCCACTGCACCTGGCCATCATTACTATTTTTATTCAAACCTTTTTGATAGGTCTATAATGATAACATATTGTGGTTTAATTTGCATTACCCTAGTAGCTAATGAAGAACATCTTTTCATGTTTATTTGCCATCCATGTATTCTCTGCTGAAATGTTTTTTATGGTTTTTGTGCATTTCTAATTGGATTATTCATTTTTTTACTGTTGAATTTTGAGAGTTTTTTCTATATTCTAGGTGCAAGTCTTTTGTCAGGTATGTGGTTTTCAAATATTTTCTCCCAGTCCATGCCTGTGTTTTTATCCTCCTTAACAGGATATTTTGCAGAACAAAAGTTTTTATTTTGACAAAGTCCAGTTTACAATTTTTACTGTAATGTAATGTCCTTTGGTGTGAAGTGTGATTTTTTTTTTTTTTTTAAAACCTCCTCTCTCAACTTTCCTTTCTAGGCACTTTGTTGTTATATTTTATTTGTTATTTTCTTGTTTCATTTTCTTTTTCTTTACTTTTTCAAACTTTACTGTTTGAAAAGTTACATATTGCATGTGTACATTCTTTTCAGCCTTATAAAATTTCTTGCTTGGATGTTTGATTTGAAGTATAAAGTTAATCACTGTATTAGTGTGTTCTCACACAGCTATGAAGAAATACCTGAGACTGGGTAATTTATAAAGGAAAGAGGTTTAATTGACTCACACTTCTGCATTGTTGGGGAGGCCTCAGGAAACTTACAATGATGGTGGAAGGTAAAGAAGCAGGTACCTTCTTCACAGCGTGGCAGGATGGAGTGAGTGCAAACGGGAAATGCCAGATGCTTATACAACATCAGATCTCATGAGAACTCACTACTATAAAAAGTACAGCATGGGAGAAACTGCCCACATGATCCAATTCTCCCTTTACCTGGTCCTGCCCTCGACACGTGGAGATTGTGGGGATTACAATTTGAGGTGAGATCTGAATGGGGACATAGAGCCAAACCATATCAATCACTATATTTACCTTTCTTCTAAACAAAGTATGGGATCTCAGAATGCTTTGACTCTTATATCTTCTTTTCAGACTTAGGCTACTCTTAGTTACCACTTTGGTTACTATAGCTATCACTGTAATTATTTTATAAGTGTTTTATTTAGATTTATCTTATTTGATTTATTCATGTTTACTTTTTTCCTCTCTATACTTTGTTTTTCAGACCTTTCTTCTAGAATTTTTTTTCTTATCCATGAAGTATACACATTTTAGAATATTCTTTGTAAGAGGTTTATTCAGTCAAAAAATGCTTTCATTGTCTGTAAATATATTTGTTTTGTTCATTTTAGGTATCAAAGTATGGACACTTTATAGTATTCCACTGTCATCTGGATTCCCATGTTGCTGCAGAGTAAATTGTCAGTCTGATTGTCATTTCTTACTACAATGTCTTTTCTCTATGGCTTTAAAAAACACACACACAAAGAAATTCCTCCCAGAATGACTGATAGATAAGGAAAAAGAAGCCAAGTGTTTATCTTGCCATTCTTGTATAAACTAAACATCAGGGTAAACAAATGATTATTATGAGGCAGTTTTTCCTTACCCACATACTCCAGGTAATAAATGTGGTAGTCACTCATGATAGAATTCGAATCTCACTAGCCCCTTGTGAGTAATGTTAGAATTAATGAGTAAAAGTAGCATTCGAATTTCTTTTCAAGTTCTGGGATACATGTGCAGGATGTGCAGGTTTGTTACATAAGAAAACATGTGCCATGGTGATTTGCTGCACCTGTCAACCCATCACCTAGGTATTAAGCCCAGCCTGCATTAGCTATTTTTCCCGATGCTCTACCTCCCCTTGCCACCACCCCTGACAGGCCCCTGCTTGTGTCCATGTGTTCTCATTGTTCAACTCCTACTTATAAGTGAGAACATGCAGTGTTTGGTTTTCTGTTCCTGCATTACTTTGCTGAGGATAGTGGTTTCCAGCTCCATCCATGTCTCTGCAAACGACATGATCTCATTCCTTTTTGTGACTGCATAGTATTCCATGGTGTATATGTGCTACATTTTCTTTATCCACTCTATTCTTGACAGGCATTTGGGTTGATTCTATGTCTGCTATTGTGAATAGTGCTGCAGTGAACATGTGTGTGCATTTATCTTCATAACAGAATGATTTATATTCCTTTGGGTTTATACCCAGTAATAGGATTGCTGAGCCAAATAGTATTTCTGGTTTTAGGTCTTCGAGGAATTGCCACACTGTCTTCCACAATAGTTGAACTAATTTACATTCCCACCAGTAGTGTAAAAGTATTCCTATTTATTCACAGCCTAGCCAAAATTTGTTGTTTCTTGACTTTTTAATAATGCATTTTGACTGGTGCGAGATGGATCTCGCTGTGGTTTTGATTTGCATTTCTCTAATGATCAGTGATGCTGAGCTTTTTTCCATACATTTTTTGGCCGCATAAATGCCTTTTTCTGAGTAGTCTGTTCATCTTCTTTGCCCACTTTTTAATGGGGTTGTTTGTTTTATTCTTGTAAATTTAAGTTCCTTGTAGATTCTGGATATTAGACCTTTGTGAGATGGATAGAGTGTAAGAATTTTCTCCCATTCTGTAGGTTGTCTGTTCACTCTGATGATAGTTTCTTTTGCTGTGCAGCTCTTTAGTTTAATTAGATCCCATTTGTCAAATTTTGCTCTTGTTGCAATTTCTTTTGACATTTTCATCATGAAATCTTTGCCCATGCATGTGTCGTGAATGGTATTGCCTAGATTTTCTTCTAGGGTTTTTATAGTTTTGGTTTTTACATTTAAGTCTTTAATCTATCTTGAGTTAATTTTTGTATAAAGTATAAGAACAGGGTCCAGTTTCAATTTTCTGCATATGGCTAGCCAGTTATGCCAGCATCATTTATTAAATGGGGGATTCTTTCCCCATTGCTTGTTTTTGTCAGGTTTGTCAAAGATCAGATGGTTGTAGATGTACAGTCTTATTTCTGAGATCTCTATTCTGTTCCATTGGTCTATGTTTCTGTTTTTGTACCAGTGTCATGCTGTTTTTGTTACTGTAGCCTTGTATTATTGTTTGAAGCTGGGTAGCATGATGCCTCCAGCTTTGTTCTTTTTGTTTAGGATTATCTTGGTTGTATGAGCTCTTTTTTGGTTCCACGTGAATTCTAAAGTAGGTTTTTTCTAATTCTGTGAAGAATGTCAATGCTAGTTTAATGGGCATAGCATTGAATCTATAGATACTTTGGGCAGAATGGCCATTTTCACAGTATTGACTCTTTTTATCCATGAGCATGGAATGTTTTTCCATCTGTTTGTGTCCTCTCTTATTTCCTCAAGCAGTGGTTTGTAGTTCTCCTTGAAGAGGTCCTTCACTTCCCTTGCTAGCTGTATTCCTGGGTATTTTATTCTCTTTGTAGAAATTGTGAATGGGAGTTCATTCATGATTTGGCTACTATTAGCGTATAGGAATGCCTGTGATTTTTGCACATTGATTTTGTATCCTGAGACTTTGCTGAAGTTGCTTATCAGCTCAAGAAGCTTTCAGGATGGGTCGATGGGGTTTTCTAGATACAGGAACATGTCATCTGCAGAGACAGTTTGACGTCATCTCTTTGTCTTGAATACTCTTTATTTCTTTCTCTTGCCTGATTGCCCTGGCTAGAAGTTCCAATACTCTGTTGAATAGGAGTGGTGAGAGAGGGTATCCTTGTCTTATGACAGTTTTCAAGGGGAATGCTTCCAGCTTTTGCCCATTTAGTATGATATTAGCTGTGGGTTTGTCATAAATGGCTCTTACTATTTTGAGCTATGTTCCATCAATACCTAGTTTATTGAGAGTTTTTTAACATGAAGGAAGTTTAATTTTATCTTAGGCCTTTTCTGCATCTATTGAGATAATTGTGTGGCTTTTGTCTTTAGTTCTGTTTATGTAATGAATTGCATTTACTGATTTGCATATGTTTAACCAGCCTTGTATCCTGGGGATGAAGCTGACTTGATTGTGGTTGATAAGCTTTTTGATGTGCTGCTAGATTTGGTTTGCCAGTATTTTGTTGAGGATTTTTGCATCGATATTCATCAGGGATATTGGCATGAAGCTTTCTTTTGTTGGTTGTATCTTTGCCAGGTTTTGGTAGCAGGATGTTGCTGGCCTCATAAAATGAATTAGGGAGGAGTCCCGCCTTTTCAATTGTTTGGAATAATTTCAGAAGAAATTGTACCAGCCCCTCTTTGTACCTCCGGCAGATTTTTAGCTGTAAATATATCTGTTTCTGGGCATTTTTGGTTGGTATGCTATTTATTACAGCCTCAATTTCAGAACCTGATATTGGACTATTCAGGGATTCAACTTCTTCCTGGTTCAGTCTTGGGAGGGTGTATATGTTTAGGAATTTATCCATTTCTTCTATATTTTCTAGTTTGTTTGCATAGAGGTGTTTATAGTATTTTCTGATGGTTGTTTGTATTTCTGTGGGGTCAGTGGCGATAGTGGCTTTATCCTGTATCATGTTTTATTGTCTCTACTTGATTCCTCTCTCTTTTCTTATTAGTCTAGCTAGACTATTAATAAAATAGTCCTATTTTATATTAATTTTTTCAAAAAACCAGCTTCTGGATTTGTGTTTTTTTTTTTCTTTTGAGACAGTGTCTCGCTCTGTCGCCCAGGCTGGAGTGCAGTGGCACGATCTCAGCTCACTGCAACCTCTGCCTCTTGGGTTCAAGCGATTCTTCTGCCTCAGCCTCCCAAGCAGCCAGGATTACAGGCATGCACCATCATGCCTGGCTAATTTTTATATTTTTGTAGAGATGGGGTTTCACCATGTTGGCCAGGCTGGTCTCAAACTCGTGACCTCAAGTAATCTGCCCGCCTCAGACTCCCAAAGTGCTGGGATTACAGGCATGAGCCACAGCACCCGGCTGATTTGTTGATTTTTTTGAAGGATTTTCATGTCTCTGACTCATTCAATTCTGCTCTGATGTTGGTTATTTCTTGTCTTCTGGTAGCTGTGGGGTTTGTTTGCTCTTGGTTCTCTAGTTCTTTTTGTTATGATGATAGGATGTTGACTTGAGATCTTTCTAGCTTTTTGATGTCAGCATTTAGTGCTATAAATTTCTCTCTTAACACCGTTTTGGCTGCATCCCAGAGAATCTGGCACATTTGTCTCTTTGTTCTCATTGGTGTCTAAGAACTTCTTGATTTCTGCCATAATTTCATTATTTACCCAGGAGCCAATCAGGAGCAAGTTGTTCGCTTTCCATGTAGTTGTGTGGTTTTGAGTGAGTTTCTTAATCTTGAGTTCTAATTTGATTGCATTGTGATCTGAGAGACTGTTATTGTTTCAGTTCTTTTGCATTTGCCGAGGAGTGTTTTACTACCGGTTATGTGATCAATTTTAGAGTAAATGCCATGTGGCAATGAGGAGAATGTATATTCTGTTTTTTTGGGTTGAGAGTTCTGTAGATGTCTATCAGGTTCACTTGATCCAGAGCTGAGTACAGGTCCTGAATATTTTTGTTAACTTTCTGTTTGGATGATCTGTCTAATATTGTCAGTGGGGTGTTAAAGTCTCCCACTATTATTGTGTCGAAGTCTCTTTGTAGGTCTCTAAGAGTTTACTTTATGAATCCTGGTCCTCCTGTATTGGGTGCATATATATTTAGGATAGTTAGCTCTTGTTGAATTGAACCCTGTACCATTATGTAGTGCCCTTCATTGTCTTTTTAAGTCTTTTTTGGTTTAAAGTGCCTTTTGTCAGAAAGTACTATTGCGACTTCTGCTTTTTTCTTGTTTCCATTTGCTTGGTAAATGTCTCTCTTGAAGGCAGCATACCAATGGGTCTTGATTCATTATCCAACTTGCCATTCTCTGTCTTTTAATTGGGGGATTTAGCCCACTTACGTTTAAGGTTAACAGTGTTATATTTGAATTTGATCCCATCATCATGATGCTAGCTGGTTATTTTGCAGACTTGTTGAGGTAGTTGTTTCACAGTGTCATTGGTCTTTGTACTTCAGTGTGTTTTTGTAGTGGCTGGTAATGGTTTCTCCTTTGCATATTTAATATCTTCCTTCAGGAGCTCTTGCAAGACAGGCCTGGTGGAGATGGATTTCCTCAGCATTTGCTTGTCTGAAAAGGGTTTTATTTCTCATTCACTTATGAAGCTTAGTTTGGCCAGATGTGAAATTCTGGATTGGAAATTCTTTTGTTTAAGAATGTTGAATATTGGCCCCCAATCTCTTCTGGCTTGTAGGGTTTCTGCTGAGAGGTCCACTATTAGTCTGATGGGCTTCCCTTTGTAGGTGACCTAGCCATTCTCTCTGGCTGCCCTTAGCACTTTTTCCTTCATTTTGGCCTTGGAGAATCTGATGATTATGTGTTAGGGGTTGATCTTCTCATGGAGTATCTTATTGGGGTTCTCTGGATATCCTGAATTTGGATGTTGGTCTGTCTTGCTAGGTTGGGGAAGTTCTCCTCAATGATATCCTGAAGTATGCTTTCCAATTTGGTCCCGTTCCCCCTGTCTTTTTCAGGTACCCCAAGCAGTTGTAGGATTGGTCTTTTTTTTTTTTTTTTTTTTTTTGAGACGGAGTCTTGGTCTGTCACCAGGCTGGAGTGCAGCGGTGCAATCTTGGCTCACTGCAACCTCCACCTCCTGGGTTCAAGTGATTCTCCTGCTTCAGCCTCCTGAGTAGTAGCTGGGACTACAGGCACCCACCACCACGCCCGGCTAATTTTTTGTATTTTTAGTAGAGATGGGGTTTCACCATGTTGGCCAGGATGGTCTTGATCTCTTGACCTTGTGGTCGACCTGCCTTGGCCTCCCAAAGTGCTGCGATTACAGGCGTGAACCACTGAGGATTGGTCTTTTTACATAATCCCGTAGTTCTCGGAGCTTTTATTCATTCCTATTTATTATTTTTTCTCTAATTTAGTCTGCTTTATTTCAGCAAGATAGTCTTTAAGCTCTGAAATTTTCTCCTCTACTTTGTCTATTTTGCTATTGATACTTGTGGTTGCATTGTGGAGTTCTCATGTTGTGTTCCTCGGCTCCATCAGGTCATTTATGTTCCTCCCTGAATGGCTTATTCTGGTTAATAGTGTTTTATCATGATTCTTAGCTTCTTTGCATTGGGTTTGAACATGCTTCTTTAGTTCAGTGAAGTTTGTTATTACCCACCTTCTGAAGCCTACCTCTGTCAGTTCATCCATCTCAGCCTCAGCCCAGTTCTGTGCCCTTGCTGGAGAGGTGTTGCAGTCATTTGTGGGAGAAGAGGCACTCTGGCTTTTTGAGTTTTCAGCATTGTTTTCCTTAATTCTTTCTCATCTTTGTGACTTTATCTACCTTTGGTCTTTGAGGCTACTGACCTTTGGATGGAGTTTTTGTGGGGACTTTTTTGTGATGATGTTCTTGTTTTTGCTTTCTCTTTGTTTTTCTTTTAACATGCCCCTCTTTTGTAGGGCTGCTGAGGTTTGCTGGAGTTCCACTCCAGACCCTATTTGCCTGGGTCCTATCTGCACCTGGAGGTGTCACTATTGAAGGCTGCAGAACAGCAAAGATAGCTGCCTTCTCCTTCCTCTGGGATCTCTGTCCCAGAGGGGCACCGACCTGATGCCAGTGGGAATGCTCCTGTACAAAGTGTCTGGCGACCGCTGTTGGAGGTTCTCACCCAGTCAGGAGGCATGGGATCAAGGACCTGTGTAACAAAGCACTCTGGCTGCCCTTTGGTGGAGAGGGTGCGCTGCTCTGGGGGAATCCCACTTGTCCGGACTGCCCAGATTCCTCAGCACCAGCAGGGAAAGACTAAGTCTGCTGATCCATGGAGATCATGGCTGACCCTTCCCTGACAGGCTCTGTACTAAGGATATCAGAGTTCTGTTCACATATCCATGGCTGGAGTTGCTGAGATTGTTGCAGAGAGGCCCTGCCTGGTGAGGAGTGATGGGTCCAAATTTGGCCTGAAGAGGCAGTCTGGCCATGATCTGCCACACCCGCTGTGCTGCACTGTGGGGAATTCCTTGTGGGTCCAAACCGTCCAGTCTCCCTGGCACCGGCAGGAGAAAACGGCAGACTGGAGCTGCAGTGATGGTTGTTGCCTCCCCTCCGCCCAGGAGCTCAGTTGTCTTAGGCAGCAGGCATCTGCAGTGATGGTGGCCTCCCCTTTCCCCTCAGGACCTCGGTAGTCTTAGGCAGTCTTAGGCAGCCACTGAGAATCTGCACAGATCCGTCTGCACAGATCCGTGGAAAATGCATGGTTTCCCAAGTGGGGCAGCACAATCACTTCCCACCTTCCTTAGCTAAGGGTGGGAGCTCCCTGTGCCCTGTGCAGTTCCTGGGTGGGCTGTCGCTGCACCCAGCTCTGTAGTTCATTCCAACTGTCTAGTCAGTTCCAATGGGAGAACCTGGATACCTCAGTTGCCGGTGCAGGATTCACTCATCGTTTTCATTCTTGATAGGAGCCTTCCACCGCAGCTGTTTCTACTCGGCCATCTTGGCCCCTCCCTCTAGAATTAGAATTTTAACCGCTAACAGAATGATAGATGTCTAGATTATAATCATAACAAAAATAGACAACCAGACTTTTGCCTCCTGACAGAAGTACTCAGCCTGACTTAGGAAATAAGCCTGAGTCTGATTAAGCCTTTAGATTTAACTGAATATGTGTCATGGTCTAAATAAGGGACAGAAACCATACAGTTATTTGGAAATGGAAAGTTTCATCTAAAGAATGGTCACTAGGGGAGTGGAGTAGGTGGATTAACTAATAAGAGGCAAAGATGTATAGGAATAGCAGATACATGGAGAGCAGTCACCACCACCAGCATGGAAGAAAGTGTCCAAGGAAGAGACCACCCACTCTCAGGGCTGAGAGCCTAGCCTGGGTGGAGGCTGTGCAGCTGTGGCTTACTGCTGGGGGTAGTTGGCCGAGGTTCTGTGCTGCCTGGAAACCCATGCTCAGGAGTACTGTGGAAGGTATTCACAGGAAGATGCAATGACTTGGAATTTACTGAGTCAGCCTATTCTCTGGGATGGGTGGGTGACAGAGGATTTGTTCAAATGGAGGTGCTTACCTGGTGGCACCCTTCTTCAAAGACACCTGATGGTGGGTGTCGGTGGAAAACCACCTATCAATCCCTACTCACTGCCACTCTGCTGCACAGCCATTGGGGGCTCCAGGGAGGTCGTCTAAAGGCAGGTGGCAGCTCCTGTGCTCTATTGCAAAACCTCCTGGGGATGGGGTTGAGTTGGGGGAGGCTGGTGATGGTGAAGTGCCCTGCTATTGGCACTGGTTGTGGAAGCTCCCAAGAGGGATACACTGGCCGTGTGTGTGTGTGTGTGTGTGTGTGTGTGTGTGTGTGACGTCCATGGGAAGGTGCTGGTTGATGCTGGCTTTTCAGCTCGGCTGTAAGGAACTGTATGCCATGCTGAAGCCCAGAGAGACAAATACACTAGAACCAGAAAGAGAAGCTCTTCCTTCTGCTTGTCTTTCCACTGCCTTCTAGTGACAAAGCCTTGTACTGGGATAGCTCATCAGAGGAGAAATATTTCCAAGTTCAACCCCACTCTTGCAGAGCTGGCTAGGAAGAATGGATTTATATCTGGAGGCAAAAAATTGACAACAGACACAAACTACTAGCTTATAAGAAATTCAGGGAGTAGAGGAAGATATCAAATGATATCATTAGATAAAATCAGCAAAATATAGTATGTGGGATAAACAACCTAGTTCCTTCAACAGATAAACATCAAGGAAAACAACACAAAGAAATGGAAGAGAAATCTGGATTAAAAGAGATTTAAGAGACATATGTGTGGGCCTTCTTTGGATTCTCATTTCAATGAATGAAGTATAAAAATTTTTTTGTATGTGACAGGAAATTTGAACATTCTGGATGTTTGATATTAAGCAATTATTGTTCATTTTTGATGTGGTAATAGTGTGTCTATTTTTTTTCTAAGAACTCCTTTGGTAATACATGCTGAAATATTTACAGATGAAATGATACAATGTCTTGGATTTTAGTAATATGTTTATTGCCTTTGTGTTGAAAAAACTCAAAAAATGTGAAAATCGTTTTTTCTTACAGGGTTTAAAAGTTACTACTATACAATAGCCTCTACCTCAGTTTTGTACAGAAATCAATCATGAATGATGACCTGTCTTTAAAATAACATAATTTTGAATCTTGTTCCTGAGTTTTGTTTATAATGAACTGTTAGAAATTTATGACAATGATAACTGGCATTTACTAAGACATATTATTCCATGGCTGTGTTCACGCACATATTCTGACTTGGTAGTTTATGATGTGAACAAAAGTGTCTGTGCTTTGTGGGATAGTTAATATTGTCTTATGGAAGGAAAGAAAATCAACTATCATTTTCAGCAGTCTTGTTGACATAGACATATGTTTTCTACCCGCAAGCCTGAATATGTATTCTTCTGACATGTTTACTATTTCTAGAAACCATGGTATTCTTAAACATTTCAGAAATGCAACTGCTATTATATTTATCCTCTGCTGATATAGTGTTTATAGCATATACTAGAATTTTAGATTTTGAGAAAAGTTCATATTAAAACAACTACAAATTCCCAAGAGACAATATTTTAGGTATCGGTGCATTTTTTAGTCCATGAAAATGTTTGAAATAAGTCTTTTGTAATTTACTAATGTTCTTCAGCTCTTAATGATAATTTCACTCTTGTTTGTTTCATAGCTGAAAATAAAATATTAGAAATTTATAAAGTTCAAATAGCATGATATAAATAATAAAATTAGGTATTTACAAATATTGGTGATATTTGTGGGTAGGGGGAAGGGCTGAGTAGAGGAGAAGAGGATGCATTATTAAGTTTAAGATTTTTCGCCAGGCGTGGTGGCTCACGCCTGTAATCACAGCACTTTGGGAGGCCGAGGCAGGAAGATCATGAGGTCAGGAGTTTGAGACCAGCCTGACCAACATGGTGAAACCCCATCTCTACTAAAAATAGAAAAATTAGCTGGGCACGGTGGTGCGTGCCTGTAATCCTAGCTACTCGGGAGGCTGAGGCAGGAGAATGACTTGAACCTGGGAGGCAGAGGTTGCAGTGAGCTGAGATCGTGCCACTGCACTCCAGCCTGGGTGACAGAGTGAGACTCCATCTAAAAAAAAAAAAATAAAAGATTTTTCTTAACTTTTTCAGGGGTTTCATAAATGGTTACTTGCAGCTCATTCTTATGCCTAAAAATATGATAAAATACTCTCGTGTGTATATGTGATGCTATAAATGTCAAGAACAGGGAATCGCTTCAGATTTTACCCCTCTTGCAAACTAATAAGTCAGCCACAATTTCATGGATACTGGTGGAAGACATGAGACTCCTGAGTCAGAGATGAAGGACAATTTCTTACAGCAGTGGCAGCAGCATTTTGGGCCAGTTTTCTGGATCTTGCTTCCCATAGGATGATGGGAAGACAGTCAGATGACACCTAGGGCTGCCTGAGACAATCCCAGAGCTTATGACTCTTGAATTTTTCATAATGTTAAGTAAATGCCCTGGAAGGAGACATTATCTTTAGTAAGCATGGCTGCCTTTTCCTCCAGAGCTGACACTGTCTCTGTCCTCTAAGCTATCCTTGAAAAGATGATCTGGAACAAAAATGGGCAGTACCTCACAAGACATACAGAAACATGAGAGACCCATAGAGAACTACTTCTCAACACCATCTGCACTTACTCCTGTGCTGTCCTGGCTTCTGAAGAATTTTAACCTGAATACCCCACTCTGTCAGCCACTCTGATTAATTGGATTGACAGAGACTCAGACCAGACTGTTCAACTTGTCTCATATGAAATTTAACCAAGGGCATTATCAGTAATAGTCCAAGCAGCAGAATGAGGCCAACCTGAGATAGAACACTAGGAATAATTTTAGTCAGTAGAAATATAATGTACATCAAGTCAAATATTGGCCAAAGCTGTGAGAGTGGCTTTGGGCTTTGCCTCCCTGTGCAGAAACACCACGGCTATTTTCATTTCTGCACAGTTGAGCACTGAGATTGTACAGCTTTAGCAGTCCAGTGAACATTGAGTTTCAACTTAGCTGAACCATCAATGAACCAAGCCCAGGCAACCCATGGCCGCATGAGCCAATGACTTTGCTTCAGGTGCCAGAGTTGGGGCCGGCGGGGAAGGGGGGATAGTTTTCCCCAGAGGGATAGCTGCCACTTTTTTAAGGTAAAGTTGAGATGCCACTGGGAGTAGGCTAGCTGGTCCTTGAAGGTATCATTTCTATTTGATAAGCTAGGCTTATTGGGTCCTACCCACCTTGATATTTATAGAGTCCTTCAATGGGACTATCAGGCAAGTGAGTCACAAGGCCTCTGTGGGTTAGGTGGAGAGTTTAAACAAGAGCCAAGCAGCAAGCTCATAGCTGCTTTTTAAAAGGGATGTACCTGGCAGCCACATCAGGGAGGTGATGAGCCCAGAACCCCAAAGGTTGCTGCTGGTTGGAGATCATCTCCCTTCACTCCATACTTAGATTCCCAACTCATCGTAGAGACTCGTCGTGAGTCTGTGGAGTGCCAGAGGTTGAGAGTGTGCCACAGCTTGCTGGTTGGTTTCCAATGGGGACTCTGGGCTATGCTCCAAGGTTGCTGGTTTGCAAACTAACCAAAGTAAAGCACCAAGTAGAATGCCAAGGTGAGGTACATACTGTTTCCTGTACCCAAAGAGACTAATAAGACAGCAGAATTCCTTAACTGCCAGAGGAATTGAGCAGAAAACTGTCTTCATAGTCCCAAGAACTTTTACTTGGGAAGATTCTTGTACACTGTGAGAGTTTCTCAGCCTCCTTTTCAGGCAGAGGTATGGTAACACCACAGTCAGGACTGTTGAAAGTGAGGCTTCTGACTTGTTTACCAACGGGCTCTCCTCTGTAGTGAAAACTTTAGATGTCACAAGGCACGAAATCCTGACTCTACTCCCTCTTGGCATATAGCCCCAAAGAGTGTAGCTTCCCGTTTGGAAGTACCTGGAGGCCTTGCATGTAAATGAAAATGGATTTTGGTCCTCAGGTACCTGTGGGATGAAAAACAAGGTGTTGGTAATGCCCAGGACCTCAGACTTAGTGCCAGCAGCCTGTGCAGTGGTTTCAGTTACAGTTGCAGTGGCTAGAATAGCTGGGACTCTAGCAGCAACAACTGAATTCAGGTGATCAGCATTCACTGTAAGCCTCCAACTCCTGTTAGTCTTTTTCACTGGCCAGATGTGGCCGTTGGTTGTATTGAGATGTTGCTTCTCTTTACTACCCCTGCTGCCTTTAAGTCCTTATTCAAGATTGTGATTACCCTTCTCCTGGGATTCTATTTTGCTTCTCTTGGACCACAGGTAGGGAGAAGGGTTGAGAAACAATCTATATTTTCAACTAGCACTTTATATATCACTCTTCCTCATCTGGGTGATCCCCTCCGGCTCTTATGGGACAGGGAAGTACAGGCATTTAATGCTTCTTACTACATACTCGGAGGTAGAAGACACCACAACAGTGTATAGAAGAGTTCCCTGTGAAGTCAGC
The DNA here is from genome assembly GCF_000001405.40 of Homo sapiens. Classification (NCBI taxonomy): domain Eukaryota; kingdom Metazoa; phylum Chordata; class Mammalia; order Primates; family Hominidae; genus Homo; species Homo sapiens. The sequence goes on along the minus strand of NC_000007.14, from coordinate 144,791,281 downwards.
TCCTCTTTGCTCTAGGGGGAGTCCCTGCTGTTTTCCTTTTTTACTCACTGTGCCTTTTTGGTCTTCTCTAACTCCTTTTACCTTATCGTAATTCCAATTATTGAGTGGAGAGTTAACACTGAAACTTACCAGTTTGTCAAATATGATTGAACGTTGATAAGGTAGTAGTTACCTAGGCACGGAGACTACAGTGTTGAACAAAACGGGTAAAAAGTTCCTACCCCATGGGTTTACATACTCTATGCTAGACATTGCGCTAAACTGTCCATATGACTTAATCCCCATGATGGCTTAATGAGAGTGACATTTTCTTCCCGCTCCCACTGGAGCTCTGACATCCCATGGTCAGCCAACCCCACCCCCTTCACCCTTGATTGGCTCTGACACCTCACTGTGGGCCTGGGTGGCTCCCTCCTCACCCTTCAACACACGTACACACACACACGCACACCTGCACTTGCATTGCTCTGGCACACCTGAATTGTTTGAGAGGGAAAAATGGGCACTAAGTATATTTATACGGTTTGGATCTGTGTCCCTGGCGAAATCCCAAGTGGAATTGTAATCCCCAGTGTTGAAGGTGAAGCCTGGTGGGAGGTGACTGGATCATGGGGGCAGATTTCCCCCTTGGTGCTGTTCTCCTGATAGTAAGTTCTGAGATCTGGTCATTTAAAAGTGTGTGGCACCTTCCCTGCCACTTCTTCCTGCTCTGGCCGTGTAAAGTGCTGGCTTTCCCTTCTCCTTCTGCCACGATTGTTAAGTTTCCTGAGGCCTCCCTAGAAGCCAAGCAGATGCCACCATACTTCCTGTACAGCCGTAGAATTTGAGCCAATGAAACCTCTTTTCTTTATAAATTACCCAGTCTCAGGTATTTCTTTATAGCAATGCAGGTGCTAATACATATATATTTCTTAAAGAAAAAGTTACTTCTTACATTTGTATGTACATTTGGTGTACATGAACTTTTTTTTTTTCCAGGAGATTACTCATAATGTTCCTAAGAAATCAGTGACTTGCTGGGCGTGGTGGCTCACGCCTGTAATCCCAGCACTTTGGGAGACCGAGGTGGGTGGATCACCTGAGGTCAGGAGTTTGAGACCAGCCTGGCCAACATGGTGAAACCCTGTCTCTACTAAAAATACAAAAATTAGCCGGGTGTGGTGGCAGGTACCTGTAATCCCAGCTACTCAGGAGGCTGAGGCAGGAGAATCGCTTGAACCCGGGAGGCAGAAGTTGCAGTGAGCCGAGATCGTGCCATTGCACTCCAGCCTGGGGGACAAGAGCAAGACTTCGTCTCATAAAAAAAAAAGCAGTAACTCAGAAACATTCTCTGGAGAACACAACCAAGTTGAAGCCATGTAGGTGGTTCCTCTTAGTGCAAAAGAGCCTTCTTTCCCCTCTACTAATTAAGGAGCTAAGTCATAAAGGAGCTAACTCTATATCCATACAGATTCTTCCATTAAGAAAATCTCAAATACAGGCCTCATGATTAGAAATTAATACATTTTATAAGACCCATGAATTTTTATTGCTAACAGTGGGGTATTTGAGAAATTATCTAAAAAAGATTCTGGCTGTGATACAGGTATATGGCATTTTCCCCTTGTCTGTAATCCTTTTAAATAAAGACAGAGTGAATCAATTTTATAATTAATTTTATGCAGATATTCTAATTTATTAAAAATGGTTGGTGGTAGTTATACATTGAGAAATGGGTAGGAGTTATTTATCTCATTAGATTAATACCAATTTTTATGAACAGTTTTGGGATAGATTGGCTAAATGACTTTGGCGCTGAAGCTATGCCAGTTTGAGGTTTATTCTTACGCCTTTATTTCTCTTCCACAACCTTGTGTTAATGGTCTGTCTCCCACGAAACTCTGGGCTGTTGGAGGGCAGGTAGAATATTTCTATTTTCAGTGCCCTTATGCCGAGCTCATAAAAATGCCAAGCATGCTAAAACATGTTGAATAAACAGATGGATGAGAAAATTGAAGTCTATGAGAAAATTGAGGACTGACTTTTAAAAAGCTACAGTTGTATACTGAACGTTTCTTATTTGTTGAGTCCTGCAGACAGATCTGTCATACAGCTCTTACAGAGCAGAGGTTCAACTACTGGCAGAACTGGAACTCAGGTCCAGTTTTACATCTGTGTCTACTCTTTGCTCTTTAATGGAGAAGAAATGAGAAAATTCTAGAGAGTTGTAATGGCTGAATCCGTGATATTATTTCGTGGTTAGACTCAGTCCATTTGGACTTGTGAGATTTTCCCATTTGGTAGCCAAAGATAAGGACTAGGTCTGTGATTTCTTTTCTTTTCTTTTCTTTTCTTTTTAAGATAGAATTTCGCTCTTTTTGCCCAGGCTGGAGTGCAGTGGTGCAATCTCAGCTCACTGCACCCTCCACCCTCCGGGTTTAAGCGATTCTCCTGCCTCAGCCTCCCAAGTAGCTGGGATTACAGGCATGCACCACCAGGCCCGGCTAATTTTGTATGTTTAGTAGAGATGGGGTTTTTCCATGTTGGTCAGGCTGGTCTCAAACTCCCGACTTCAGGTAATCCGCCTGCCTCGGCCTCCCAAAGTTCTGGGATTACAGGCATGAGCCAGTGCACCCGGCTGTGATTTCTTTTATATTGCTTTTTGGCCCCTAAAACAGGTGTTTATCAAGTTCTGTTTCTCCGCTTTCTCTCCCTGCCCTGCCCTGCCCCATGGTACTAAGAAAGAGTATATTTAATCCAGAGATGGGCCTGTGGATAGTTTTTCTTCCTGTTCCATAATTGACATGTCACTTGCCATTCAGCCTAATCACAAGGTGTCTAATCCTACTCCTCCTTATATGGTATATTCCCCAAAATTTATTCAGATCCATTTGAGCTTGTGTTATATATAGTTTTATCAAAATCTTTTGTAGATAATTCTCCAGTTTTTTTAAGTCAGTGCCCTTGCTGAAATTTCTGACCGCAAACTTTTTTGTTTTCTCATATGCTTGATTCTTATTCTACTATTCTCTTTGCTCCTCCCTCTGTCAAAAGTTGTACAGAAAAAGGAGAAAGTCCTTGCATGTATAACCTTAGCACTATATCAGCCTTTTAAAGTATTTGCTTTCTTACTAGAGACCATTTTTACTTTGTTTTGACAACTTAAAGTTCTTATAGCTCTACCTTATTTTTGTTTGATGCAAATACAAACACACACGTTTGAAGAAAATCAAGTTGGACATCAAGCTTTATATTGATGTGTTTTGTTTATTGTTGATTTATATTGATAAAGTGTGCATGAAGATTAATTTGTCATGCACATGGTATAGAATAGTATATAAATTAACTATAATATGAAATTAACTAAATAGTATATAAATTATAATAGTATGTAAATTAACTACAGTAATTACAATTACCAACAGTGAGGGCCTGCTCCATAGCCTATGCAAGTAAAATTATTTTTTTGTTTTCCATTGAAACCTTTCGGCATTTGTAGGGGTTCCCAAGCACTAAGTCATATGTTTGTGTGAAGTAATCTTTATCTGCTGTGCATTCTTTCCATTTTATTTATTTATTTTTTAATTTAAATATACAGTCTCTCATAAAATGTCAACACATCTAAGAGTTTAGAAATGACTCGTTTTTTCCAGTTTATATGGAAAAATATTAAAAAGATATACTTTTCTGTTGAACATTTTTTACCTTAGATATTATAGATTAAATATTTTTTTAAAAGGGAAGTCATCTACATATGCAGAATTTCAAAGCAAACCAATAATTGTTTTCAATTGATATTTATTGAGCTTCTACTTAGTACTCCATTTTTTGTAAGGCTCTTAAAAAGAAGCACGATGCTTCTGTTCTTGAGATACTCTCTTGCTCTTTCTCTTTTTCCATGGATTCTTAGAGACACATTTTTCTGTCATATTTTAAGCTTCCTACAATTGGATGGCACCTTGCAATCACTGTCAGCCAGGTGGCAGTCATGGCCTAGTTGTGTGGAAAATTATTACTTGAAACATTCTCTCGTAACCTCTGGTTTAGATTTAATGAAATGAAATATTACTTTGAAAAATCCAAATAATGTAGTTATTGGATATAATTTGGGAAATGCTTTTAAAAGATTAATAGAAGGAAAATAATAGGGTAGAAATAGAAACAAATTAGTAATCAGAAAAATTTAAGATACTCCAATAACCGCATTTTCCACCAAAATTGTCCTTTATCTCTGAGGTTCTTAGGGGAGGAAAATAATCTTCCCTCTACCCTTCTGAGTTCTTAGCTGGGACCTTTGTAACAAAAGACAGACTAACAAGAGAGAAAAAGATTCATTAACTTGTGTATATCTTATAAGGGAGAAAACTCAAGGAAAGAGTAACTCTCAAAAGAGGTGGCTTAGAACTATGGCTTATATAGCATCTTCCCCCAAAAATGATGAATGTTTACAGGGGGACATGATAATGGAAAAGAACCTTGAGTGTTTAGGGGTACACATTCTGGGGAGGTATAAATATAGGGGAGACTAATGGTAAACAAAGTAATGGCAGTTAGTGTACTTTGGACAGAGGTTTCTCTGGCGCCCTCTCTAGACTGATAAGGGTCAGAAGTCATCTCTGGTGATTTACTTGTCCTTTCTGATAGAGAAGGGAAGAGGGGCACCTTTATAAATTTATGTCTGGCTTTTAGGCAAATAGGGAGAAAGCGGAGAGCTTTTTGTGTATCTGTTTCTTCTCAATTGCCTTTAGCTCAAAACAGTCATTGAACATTGTGACATACTTTGGAGTGGTATATTCTGCTGCCCTTAAGATTCCTCTAATTTTCTATTTTCTACTTTAAAGATTCATAGGTAGTGTGTTAATCTGCTGGAAACTCAGTTTGCTAATGGGTTACTGAGAATCTTTCACTTAGCCTTTCCTGAGTTTTCTCTAAACCTAATGCTACAGACCTCTTGAGATTTGCATTAAGTGTAGTCATCAAGGAAATCCACGTAGATAGGAAAGGGGCAGCCTAGAGGTTAAGCAGGAGACTGGCTTAAAGTAGTCTGGCTTTGTTATGCCACTGGTGACCTCTGGTCAATTATTTTCCTTCTCAAGCCTTAGTTCTTCCTTTGGCAAATAGGAAAAGTAATAGGATTTTCCCCATAATTTGTAGGGCTTAAATGAAAGAGTGCATATATGATACTTTGATTTCTATTTTTTTTTCTTTTTACTTGTATTTACTGGATATTTACTGAGCTTCTCTGTGTTAGGTACTAGGGATACCCAGTGAATAGGAGATAAAAATTCAGCTCACAGTTGAGCTTCTTTCTTAGTGGAATGAGATCAGTACTTGATACATAATAATCTTGTGTAAGAAGTTATACAGTTTATGTAACAGTAGAACTTACTGTGTAATAAAATAATAACACCTTGTTATTCTCTTGGGGCTGACAATACCTGGGGGAAATGAGAATTCTAATTATCTCCTTACACATCCATACCTTATGGCTCCTGCTTCATCAGGGCTCAAAGGAAGGAACTGCCAAGAGTTTCAGATGACAGCTTGCTGTGTTGGCACTTATTATTCAGATGCTAATGGATAAATTCTTTGGCTTTTATACTTGGGAGCAGATTTAACGTGTCTTCTTAGATTTCATTCATAATCTTATTCACAAGTTCTTTTTAGCTTCTTTGAGAAGTCTGTAATTTTAGAAGCCTTAGCTCCTGAATCATAATGTGGGAGAACATGAGTTGATTAGCAAAAATAATGTTAAGAGTGATTTCATTTTAATTCTAGTGTGTCAAATCTAAAGAAGACATTGACAATGTTAGGGCTATATGTAGCACCTTGACATTGCTCTAAGCAATAAGGCCAGTAATAGCCATATCAAAATGGAGATTTAAAAAAAATCATTTATTTGAGTCTTCCAGCTGAAATTGATGGGGAGAGGGAGCTGGTGATCATTACTTAAAATGGCCTAAAATATATTTTACTGTGTGGCCACCACCTCTCTCCTAGGTTTTCTGCTGTCATTACCTCTTTTTCCCCATTCACAGTATTGGCCACTTTTCATGCGTTTTGACTCTTTGCATATGGTGTTTTCTCCGGGACTATCCTACCTCCTCCACATAGGGCACTGTAACTCAGCCTCCAGTACTGCTAGAATGACTCTTCTATGACTCCTTCCCCATTCCCCTGGGACAGCTTCCCCTTCCCTGTGATCTCATTGCGTTTGGCACATTGGGTGTTTTCTTCAGTCTGTTGTTCTTCACACTATTTTTGGGCCTGTGTTCTTCATTGGATCCAAAGCATTAATAACAATATCATTTGCTTTTTCATGACATTATAAGGAAATCATGGTTTTTAAATATTATAAACATTAGCTTTTGTTAGAAAAGCAGAGAACATGTTGATTATTCTTTGTTAATATTTGATATCTTTTATCCTAGTATCTTAATTCCACAAATTTTGATTTATTTATAAACCTCATTACAACTCACAAATATTCATGATATTGGTGTAAAATAATAAAAATAATAAGTATAGCTTAAATACTGGTTTAAATTGCATCCTTGATGCCATTAATTATAAGATACGTCATTGTTTTATGTACCACTAAGAAAGTAACAACAATTGCCAATTACACCCACACTGTGCTAAGATCTCATTGACTCTAAAATGCATTCTAAATGTATTCTAGAATGCGCATCAGAGATGTTAAAATGTGTAAATATTTTCACTTTTAAATTGATGATACATCTAAAAAAGATGTAAGAACTCACTTGAACAAAATGAAAGATTTGTTTCTGTTTGTTTTCCTTTCCTTCATTGCCTTTGGTAGATGTACTAATGAGCAGCAAAGTCCTCATAGATGCTAGACAACTGAAAGATGGAGGACCTGACAAAGGATTTGGGAACCCAGCAGATTACATAATCCATTCCTGTAATATTAAAAATAATCTACATATAAAGTAAGGGAATTGTAAGTAGAGAGTTGATTAGCCACATTGTTTATTCATAAAATTATGGATATGTGTCTCATAATGTGTGAAAACTTTGTATGTTCCCTTTTGTTGGCCGAGATCATTTCCAGGTGTGGGTGTGAGTGGAAGAATGGTAGAGGAGTGCAGTTTAGATGGAAACCTTCCAGGGATTTGCAATTATAAGTGTTTTTTATTATTAACTGGCCCTGCAAGTGTGGGAGTGTTTCATTTTCTTTAGATTCATTGTCTAACTTATAATGAATATCATGAGAAGAAATAAAATTCAGTTTCTAGCTGATTTAGAATTGGATCATATACTTCATTAAGTGAGGGATGCTGATAGTAAGTGTGTTATACCTTGTTCTTTCTGTCTCTATGTATCTGTCCGTTCATCTGCCCATCTGTTTTAAGATTGTGTTTCTGTTCATACAGAGTATAGTATCGTTAGAAGCAATATTGTGCTTCTGTTGTGCAATATTGACATAGAAAGTTTTAAAGATTAAGTGGAAAGAAATTTAGAACACTCCGAAATTGTGATGGTTTAGTTTATGTGCATGTGCACACATTTAGTTTTATGGGTAACTATTTTCATGACACAGGAAACAGCACAATGAATGGCTTTTTTAGGTTATGTTAGAAACAGTTCATTGTATAACTTCTTTGTGCCAGGTCTTACGTTGAATTTTCAAGCTAATAGGATGAATAAATTATGTTTTCAGCATATCTGAAATTTATAAACTGTTAAATGAGATGTATATAGTTATTATTAGACGGAATTGTGAATACCATGGTTGGCAGGTGAAAATGATTAATGGGTAAAAAGAAAAGATGTAGGGAAAGGGGAGGGGGGTAAAGTATTTTCTGTTGGTTTTGAAAGATAGGTAGGTCTTTGGCAGGGACAGGAATCTACATTTGTTGAATATTTACTTACATTGCTAGGCACTATACAGCTCTCTATAAGTATAATCTCACTGAGTCTCCTGTTACTATAGTCCACACTTTGTAGGCTCAGAGATGTTAAATTAATTTCCCAAATATTCCAGTAAGGCAGCTAATAAACGAGAAAACTTGGATTTGAGCTAGGTCTGATTCCAATCATTGTATTAATCACTGTGCCTAATGACTGTACTATTCTTATTCATGTGTACTTAATCACTGTACTATTCTGAAAGGTATTCAAGACAGAGGAAAAACCATAACAAAGATCTGGGAACTATGACAGTTCCTGACAGGTTCACAGAATCAGGATCAGCCTGCTAGACTAGAGCCAAGGTGGAGCTGGACACTTGGTCTCTGACACAGTCTCTGTCAAACCAGGATGTGCTGTCTGTTCAGTCATTGATCAGTTTTTTGATGAGTGTTACTGAGTATCTGTTGTGTGCCAGGCAGTTTGCTTGGTGCTAGGGATTCAGAAATGAACACATGCTCTTGCCTTTAAAAGCTGAGTCTAGTAACAAAACTGAGACTGTCAGTGATGATTTTTTGCTTTGCTTGTTTGCCTAAGAAGTACTTCCTCACTCAATATAAATGTCTAGATTGTTGAATTATCTTACAGTTTCAAAACTATATTAGGTACATGTGTTCTGTTCGGAATGTGTCCCCCAAAATCCGTGTGTTGGAAAATTCATCTTCCAACATGGCAGTGTTGAGAGATGGGGTGCTTGGGTCATGAGGGCCTTGCCTAGAAGGCGCTCACTAGACATTGATGCTGGCGCTTTGATCTTGGACTTCTCAGCCTTCAGAACTCTAATAAATTTCTCTTCTTTATAAATTGCCCAGTCTATTGTATTCTGTTATAGCAGCACAAACAGAGTGAGAATCTTCTTTCTCTCTCTACACACACACACACACACACAATATATATATATAGACATATATGTTGTACCTATATACACACTATGTATATATAGAGATGTAGTTTTATAACTTTATTCTGAAATTAATTGAGGCAAGTAATTTTGGTATCTTTTATCTTCAATTTTTTTTCCAAGAAAGAGGCCCCTTTATTTTCCTTGTTGAACTACTACTATTTTGATATACTTGGTTCTCATAATTTCAGTGCTGAAGCTATTGACTTAAAAAGTACATTGCTCCTGCTGTTAAAATTCTTAAAAGTTTCATAAACGAGTGTCAAATCAATCTGTGACTGAATGAACGCAAATGCAACGTTGCTTTCCTTTAACTAATATGTGGCTGGTGTGCTGCTGCTTCTTCCCCTGACAGAACGGAAATATTTTGAAGTATACCTCAGCCTTTTAATAATTTTCCAATCTGTTTCAATCTTCTGTAATTACTCATAAATTTCCTATCCTCACTTCTTTTTAACAAAGCTTTTGAATGTAGTACAGACTTAGTATAAACATTTATCTGATCCAAAGGCAAATATAGAAAACGTTAATTTTCCCTTTCTGCTTTTCATTTCTACTCTCCTAAGGTATGGTTTTGACATGTTAACACCTTTTCTATATTCATTTCTAGTAACTATTGATGAAGAGAACTGTTGTATGTCAAGAAGTAATTTAAAAAGATGAATAGAATTAGGAATTAGGATGGATATGGATATGAGTAAGTTCTTAAATATAACACTGTTTTATAAAATCTTCCCCTAAGCTTTGAAGAACAAATGTTTTCTGAGTTCCCTATAACTTATTTCAGCAGAGGAAAAAACCCCTACATGGTGTTTAGAGTGAGTTGCATCTCCTTTTGCTGTTTAGGGAATTAGTGGTTCTAAGTCCCTTTCTCTAGTCTCTTAAAAGTTTCCAATCTACGCAGACAAATCAGCATGAATTATTTAATAATTTTTGGGAAGAAAGGATGCTAGATAGTGTTGCACAAATTATTTGCTTTACTTGTAGTCTGAAACCCAAACAATCTATCATTTTAGTGATCCTTTATTATATTCTAGCCTAACATTTAAGGATTGTTGGCCAGCAACTTCTTAGGAGTGGGATACATTGCTTGGGAGGTCGCTTTCCATCAGTAGGAACTCTTCTATTTTACTTGTTTCACATATATATATATATATAACTTATTCACATATATATTATATAATAAATATATAACACATATATTTATATATTATAATATATAAATTACATATAATATATAATATACATTACATATAATATATAATATACATTACATATATATAATATATATTACATATAATATATAATATATTACATATATTACATATTACATATATAATATATTACATATATTACATATTACATATATAATATATAATATATTACATATATTACATATTACATATATAATATATAATATATTACATATACTATATAATATATTACATATACTATATAATATATATGATATATAATATATCATATATAATATAATATATAATATATATAATATAATTAATATATAATATAATATATAATATGATATAATTAATATATATTATATAATATATAATATATAATATATAATGTTATATATATTGATTATATATTATATATATAATATATAAAATATAATATATATTATATATATAATATATTATATATATTATATATTATATATAATATATTATATATATAATATATAATATAATATATATGATATATATTATATATAGTATATATATTATATATATTATATATTATATAATATATAATATATAATATATATAATATATAATATATATTATACATTTTATATATATAAAATATATATATTATATATGTTATATATAATATACATAATATATATTATATAGTATAGTATATAATATACTATATTATATAGTATATAATATACTATATTATATACTATATAATATAGTATATTATATTATGCAAGCTCAGGTGGTAATGCTTGCATGCCTACTGCTCACCTCCTGCTGCCCAGCCAGTTCCTAACAGGCCAGGAACCAGTACTGGGATGCGGCTGGGGAGCTGGGGACTCCTGACATAGAGACCTCGTCTCTACAGAAACAACAACAACAACAAGAAAACTAACTTGATGTGGTAGTATGTTCCTGTAGTCCCAGGTACTTGTCAGACAGGCAGGCAGGAGGATCACTTGAGTCCAGGAGTTTGAGGCTACTGTGAGTCATGATTGCACCACTACCCTCTTGCCTGGGCAACAGATTGAGACCTTGTCTCTAAAAAAAAAAAAAAAAAAAAAGCCAGTTGCAGTGGCTCATGCCTGTAATCCCAGCACTTTGAGAGGCCGAGGCAGGCACATCACCAGAGGTCGGGAGTTTGAGACCAGCCTGACCAACATGGAGAAGCCCCATCTCTACTAAAAATACAAAAAAAAAAAAAATAGCCAGGCGTGGTGGTGTATGCCTGTAATCCCAGCACTTTGGGAGGCCAAGGCGGGCCAATCATGAGTTCAGGAGATTGAGACCATCCTAGCTAACATGGTGAAACCCTGTCTCTATTAAAAATATAAAAAATTAGCTGGGCTTGGTGACTCGTGCCTATAATCCCATCTACTCAGGAGGCTGAAGCAGGATAAATCGCTTGAACCTGGAGGTTGCAGTGAGCCAAGATTGCACCGCTGCACTCCAGTCTGGGCAACAGAGCGAGACTCCGTCTCAAAAATAAATAAATAAATTTTTTAAAAAAGTACAAAATTAATAAGATACAAGAGTAAGATATGCAGAGTAATGCTTCTTTTCACTATTGTGCTCTTAACATTTTCCCTTTTGATGGATAGTCTAAGGATGAAAAGATATATGTGTAAAAATATACGTATAAAAAATTTTTTTTACACAAATGGTAATGTATCATCTGTTATTTGAACCCTCCTTTCCTACTTATTTTTGTCTTGGAGAATGTTCCATGTTTATTCCCATATTCCTGTAGTTTAGGTAATATATAGCTATTTCACTATGTGGGACATAGCACAGCTGTATCAATGGGCTTTTGTGTTCTTTCCATTCTTTATTAAAAACAAAACCTTTGAATACTCTTTGTTAGCAAACTTTTTTTTGTGCGTATGTATATGTATACACACACACAATTATATAGGCTGGATGTGGTGGCTCGCACCTGATAGCACCACTTTGTGAGGTTGAGGTGGGTGGATCACTTGAGATCAGGAGTTCGAGACCATCCTGACCAATATGGTGAAACCCCATCTCTACTAAAAATACAAAAATTAGCTGGATGTGTTGGGACATACCTGTAATCCCAATTACTCCGGAGGCTGAGGTATGAGAATTGCTTGAACCTTGGAGGTGGAGGCTGTAGTGAGCCGAGATCGTGCCACTGCACTCCAGCTTTGGTGACATATAATCTCTGTGAAAAAGAAATGCAATTGTAGAGATACCTGACTTGTTCTGTTTACTTCACCTGGACCTGGATCTGATTAAGGGACACTGAGACTGAGGTGGTATCATTTGCCAGAGTACTTATCTGTGGCCTAGTGTAAGTCATCAGTTGGTGTCAAAGCTTTTCCTGTTGATAGCAGAAGTTGCTCTTAATTTCTCTTAAAGCCCACAGTGCCCATGAGATGAAAATGTTTGCCTGTTTTGGGTTTAGTAGGATTTCCTTCAGTATGGGTTTGACTCTTGATATGGTGGATTGTGTCTGTGTAATCAGAAGTCATTCGTGAATCACAGGTCTTTTGCATTTAAATTTTTACATTTTATTTTTAAAAAACTGAGTGAATAAAATGACTTCTGTTCAGAAGTACTTCGATGACATAGTGTGTTATGTAATCTATATCATTTAAAGAAGGTCCTTTAAAGAAGGTTATTAAAAGTGCTTTTTAAACTCTAATTCCAAGTAATTGTCAGATGTTTTTTCCTCTTAAACTGTAGGTCTCGGGGAACATCAGACTGTTGTTTAAGTATGTCTAATTTAGCTTAATTTGTACTTATTTTGATTATATTTTTAGTATATGTGCTGTCAAAGTGAGCATGTGTATTTATTTTAATTATATGTATTGGTATAACTCGAGTCAAAGTCCTCTTTAAGGAATATTAAAGAAAGAAAAGATCTACATAGTATAATTGTTTATTCTTAGTATTGTTGATATGATTTGGCTTTGTGTCCCCACCCAAATCTCATCTTGAATTGTAATCCCATAATTCCCACATGCCATGGGAGGGACCTGCTGGGAGGTGACTGAATCATGGGGGTGTTTTCCCCCATGCTGTTCTTGTGATAGTGAGTTCTCACAAGATCTGATGGTTTTATAAGCGTCTGGCATTTCTCCTGCTGGCACTCATTCTCTCCCCTGCTGGCACTCATTCTCTCTCCTGCTGGCACTCATTCTCTCTCCTGCTGGCACTCATTCTCTCTCCTGCTGCCTTGTAAAGAGTTGCCTTCCTTCATGATTGTAAGTTTTCTGAGGCCTCCCCAGCCATGTGGAACTGCGAGTCAATGAAACCTCTTTCCTTTGTAAATTACCCAGTCTCAGGTATTTCTTCATATCAGTGTGCGAATGGATGAATACAGTTATTACATGTGAAGCCCACAAAGCTTTAAAGCCCACCTCTTCCCAAAATAATTCTCATCAAACCTAACCAAACCTAAGTAGAAAGGGTTTTCAAAGGGAGTATTTACTGCCATGTTGAACCTCCTTGGCCTTTCTTCTACTGCTTGCCATGAAGAGATTCTGTGCTTTTTGATATGGGTGGACATGGGTTGAGGTTACAGGAGTAGCCTAAGGATAAAAGTCAGGCTTTCTGTTTGATTTAGAAGCGCATTCCAAACTTAGAGTCTGCCTTCAGGAAGTGTGTTGAACCGGCTTTTCAAGTGTAAAGACTATTGTGGGCCCTGCTGTCAACATGTCAAAACTAATGTGATGGACTATAATTTTTAGTACTTTATGATGAACCCTTAGGGTTATGGCATTACATCTACAGTTTGCTAGGCAGTGATTGATTTTCTTGATTGACAGGAGACACAGTTTATTGTGCCCCATGTCTGCAGGGCAAGGGACAGTTGATGGAGCAGCTTTGAACTCTGCCAGCAATCCAGAGATGTCAGTGTGCCAAGATAAAGAACTCAACTTCATTCATTTGGTTATAGTGAGAATGTGTTTATTGGCAACAAGAATATGGCTAACCTTTGTAAGCGTAAAGAAAGAAAACATTTCTTGCTATAGCCTTCTACTTTTATGTCAAGAAAGACTCAGAACTTTGTCAGGTTTCACTTGCACTTCCCCCCACTTCCTACAGAGCAGAAGCTTACTAGTTGTAAAATATAAAGTGTTCTTTTTCTCATGCATTTCTAACATATATAGATTCTTGTGAGAATTTATTGGGGCATTTTGTTTATAGTGGCATAGATTTTATAATATTAGGTTTAGTAAACTTGGACAGACCCATTACAGTTGCATTATGGGAGGTAATGCTCTTAGATGGAAACTGATTTAAATCATTCAGAATCTCTTTACACTTTCAACTTGAAAGGTTGGATGACAATAACTAGATATATGCTCAGGTTTGCAGGGCCCAAGGCATATTACATGGATTTCTTTCACTATATAGGTAGTAAGCCTAAACATCTATTTACCTCAAAAATACTTAATCTATTCTCAAAGAAAATATTTACAAACTTTGAAATTGTATAGTTGCACATTTTGAACCATCTCCAGTTTCATTAGATTGTTCTTGAGCTATCATGATCAAAACACGATTTAGCGATTTGAAGGGAAGCCATTTGGCATCTGTAGCTGTTGCTGTTGTCCTTTCTAATACCGTTCCTGGAACATTTTGTATCATATTGATTTAAGTGTAGTACTCAGGGCTTCAGGACCTGGAAAGGGCCACTGAGTTTTAGGAGGGAGTAATTTCATTCTGCAAAGAATCCTTTTGGGCAAGCAACCAAGGGAAGAGTACTTATTCAAATTGGGGACGAGTCACTTGATTTTTAGAGAAAGCATATGGAATTGATTTATTGTAAGTGGACATAAAGTCATTGCTGAAAGTGCCGCTCAGCAGATACTTATTGAGTGCTTACTGTGTATGTGGCACAGTTTTAGGTAATGGATCCAGGAATTTATGTGCTAGTGTGGGGAGACAGACATTAGAAAAAAGATTGAATGAACAAACTGGTGATAAATTTATTATAAAAAACAAATCAGGTTAAGAGTGAGTGCTAGTGTGGAGTCGAAGGTGTTTCTATCTTACATAGATTGCTCAGGGAAGTACTATGATAACTAACATTTGAGCAGAGAGCCAAGGAATTAGTGTGAAACGGAAAGTAAGGCATTAACTGAATATGTGGCTATCTACAGTAAGTCTAAAAGGTGGCATTGTGCTCTGTATGTTTTAAGAGCAGCAAGGAGGGCAGTGTGTCTGTCGCAGGGATGGGGCCTGTGGGGGAGGAGGGAGGGACATAGGAGATAAAGTAGGGAGAGAGAGAAGCCAGGTTATGTAGAGCTTTGTAGGTGATTTGTGAGGAATTTGACTTTTACTGTGAAAGGAAGCCAGTGGAGGTTTTTGAACCAGGAAATAACTTCCTCTGACTATATTTTAACAAGATCCATCTGGCTGGTGTGTGGAGAATAGAGTATAAGAGAGGCAAGTGTAGAAGCAGAGAGGCCAATTAGAGGGCTGTTTTATACAGTCTAGAGATGAAAACTGTTCACGGGGAATAGAGCGTCGGTGGTAGATATGGTACTTGGATGGGCAGCACTGTGGATGGAGCAGGTTTGCATGGAGAGAAGATTCAGAAATCTGATTTGGACTTGTTGAGTTTGAGATGTCTGTTAGTTCTCCAAGTGGAATTGTTGAATAGGCAGTTAGACATAGAGTTCTGGAGTTCAGGGGGAAAGCCCCGGGTTGGTGTCTTGCATATGGAAGTCACTATTATAGACGGCATTTGAAGCCATGAGACTAAAGGGGATTACTTAGGGAGTGGGTATAGATTGAGAAAAGGTCCAAAGATCTGCATCTGGGGCACTGGGCACTCTTACATATGGAAGCTAGAGATATTCACTATTTATTCAACAAGTTTTATTCAGTACTTTCTATGCAGATAAGGAATAAGCAGCAAACAAGGCTGAGAAGGAGTGGGTCAGTCACACAGAAGGAGAACCAATAGAGAGTGTTTTCCTCAAGTCAAGGGATGGGGGGATTGCTTGCCCAAAGTGATTCTCCGCAGAATGAAATCACTCCCTCCTAAAACTCGATGGCCCTATGTCCTGAAGCCCTGAGTACTACGCTTAAATCAATATGATACAAAATGTTCCAGGAAGGGTACTAGAAAGGACAATAGCAACAGCAGCAAAAGCCAGTTGTCTTGCCTTCAAATCGTTAAATCGTGTTTTGATCATGATAGCTCAAGAACAATCTAATAAAACTGGAGATGGTTCACAAAGTGCAACCACACAACTCTCTCCCTACTTTATTTCCTGTCCCCCTCCTTTCTCCCCCACCGCCCCCATCCCTGATCATTCAAGAAGAAAGATTCAAGGGGTGATCTACCCTGTTATGCTGCCGAGATGTATTAGGCAAGAAGAGAACTGAGAATTAGTCATTGAGTTTTACAGAAGAGGTCACTGGTGACCCTGATGAGCATTATTTATGGGATATGGTAGGATGTACATCTCATTGAAGTAAGTTTTGCTGGAGACTGAAATAGAAGGATGAGGCGAAACCCGAAGATGATGAAGGATACAGTGATTATATAATTTATTATCCAAGCCAGGGCAGTCTGCGAATGAATGGAAGGGGACACAGTTTGTTATTATGCTTGTGCAACTGGCATATACCATTTGGTCACTCTTGGGAGAGGACAAGAAAGATTTCTCAAGGAAGTACCTGTTTATTTCTACTCTTTGTTTACTTTCTCTGAAGCAATTTCTTATATGTGACTTACCAATTTTTTTAGTCCATTGGTAATTCAATTATTTTAATAGACTCTGGTATGGAATATTTGTTCAGAGCACTTTAATAGTTCTGCTTTGTCCACATGCAATTTATTTCCTCAAAGAATGAATTGACTTGACACTTTTGATTTCCCTATGCACACTTGAAAAAAATACTGTGCTTAAATATAGAAGTTTGTGCAATATGAATACGAAACTCAGTACTCTAGAATTTTCATGGTTTAATTGAAATACTTTTTAGGGATGAGATATTCGTAATAATAATCTTTGGTCCTTTGGCAAAATAACTGTTATAATGACTGGCATGTGCTTTGGCTAATATTCATTTTATATCAGTTTCAGTAATTTTTTAAACAGAACATAAAAACCCTTGATAACTTGCCATTAATATTTTTTCTATTGTAAATTGTGTTTTATTATAATGTAATTTCATTTACAATACTGGGCTTCAGTTTTTTTCCTAAACAAATCTCATACCATATCAATTTTCAAAGGGGAATTCATTTGTGTTTATGAAAATCCACAAATAATTTATTGTTTGCTATTTATATATAAAATTTTCAGAGAACAGCAATGAAAAAGAGTGAGATACAGATGAAATTAATATGTTTTAAAGTAACATTGCTGGTTATGAGGGCTTTACACTGTCATTAGCTAATAGCATAAGACACCATACCAGTGGTTCTCAACTTTGGTGACATGTTAGACTCTTGTGGTGCTTGTAAAAAATCATGATGCATGGGCCCTACTCCAGGCAAGTTGAATAAGGATCTCTTGGGGAAGGAGTTGGCTTGCTTGCTTGCTTATTTATTTATTTAGAGAGAGGGTGTCACTCTGTAGTTCAGGCTGGGATGCAGTGGCATGATCATAGCTCAGTGTAACCTTGAACTCCTGGGCTCAAGCAATTCTCCCACCTCAGCCTCCAGAGTAGCTAGGACTACAGACATGTGCCACTGTGCCAAGCCAGTTTTTTAAACTTTTTTTTTATAGAGACAGGTTCTTGTTGTGTTGCCCAGGCTGGTCCTCAACTCCTGTCCTCAAGCAATCCTTCTACCTTGACCACCCACAGTGCTGGGATTATAGCCACTGTGCTAGCTGGCATTAAAAAAAATCTGTGATTACAGAGAGGCTGAGACCTACTACTCTATATACTGAAGGATAAATTTATCATTTATGATAATTGATGTAAGTCTGAAGTTCAAATGTGTTTATAATTTCCCTTCCTCCCTCCATCCCTTTCTTCAGAGCTTAGTTCTTATCAGAGCTAGTTAGAGTCTACTTCAAGCTTGTTAAGACTTGCTAGTTCTAGGAGGAAGAAGTGAGCAGTTCAGTATTTACTTGTATGCTTCTGCATGCTTGTGCAGAATTTGTATTATCTTCAATATGTGTTAAAGAATATCTTTAAGCCACTTACCCATTTTGTGAAGATTATGCAAAACTGAATAATCTGTAGTTTTGCTTTCCTGGGCACAGGTAAACTGTAGGTCATCCTGATATACAGGAGAAGAGTGTGAGGTGCTGCTGACATCTCTGTGTGGTGCAGCTCTCGCATTTCCTTAGCATATCTCACTCGCAGTAGATAACCTGTGACCATCTACTATAAGGACAAGTGAGGTCCTTGTGCTTGTCTGCATACTAAATATCGTCTTAATTTCTTTTTAATTAAAAAATACATCAACCTTTCACTCCTGAGTTGCATGACTGCGTTTTCGAGATCATTGATTTAGAGAGTGACTGTGGTTTCTCTCATAGAATTCAAATAGTTTTCCTTCTCACAGTCGGATATAAAAAGAAATTGGTTTTCTTGAGATTTTCTCTTCTGTTCTTGTTTTACTTCTTAATTAAAAGAAAATCTGGATGTCATTTAGTTTTCCAAAGGTGGAATAGAATTATCTTTGCCTTCTGGCATAGTGGGTTTTTTTCTTGCCTTTTTTCCTGAAGTCCAAACATGCTTTTGGGCTTCCGTCATAAGGGTTGACAGTTTTGTCCCATGGAGTAATCACTGAATGAATACCTGATGGAATAGTTGTTCAGTTCTGTTTTTGCTTGCCTCAGAGCTTTTTAAAAAAATTAATAGACTGAAAAAAATAACTTTAGATTTACAGAAACAGTTGAGAAGATAGTACAGAGAGTTGTTATATAAGCCCCATGAGCAGCTTCCCCTATATTAACATTGGACGTTAGTATGGTGCATTTGTTATAATTAATGAACCAATATTGATACATTATTATCATTTTATTATTCCATAGTTTATTCAGATTTCCTTAGTTTTTGCCCAGCATCCTTTTACTGTCCAGGCATCCCCTCCAGGATACCACATTACGTTTAGTTGTCAGGTCCCCTTGGCTCCTCTGACAGTGGCAGTTTTTCAGACTTTCTTTGTTTTTGCTGACCTTGGCAGTTTTGAGTAACATTGGTAAGTTGTATTGTAGGATGCGCCTCTATTGGAATTTATCTTATATTTTTCTCCTGATTAGACTAGGGTTATAGACTTGGGGGAGAAAGACCCTGGAGACAGTGCCATTTTAATCACATCATGTTAAAGATACATACTATAAACATGATTTATGACTATTGATGTTGACCTTGATCACCATCCTGAAGTGTAGTGCTTATTATATTTCTCTACTGTAAAGGTTTCTCCCTCTTTTCATAATCCTCTTTGGAAGGAAGTTACTATGTGCAGCCCACTCTCTGCTGTGTATAGCCTATAGCTATGTTCTTTCTCCTTTAGGATGGAGGATTGTATAATTTATTTGGAATTATTCTGCCTGGGAGATTTGTCTCTTGTCACCTGTGTATTAATCCATATGGATTGATGGATATTTATTTCATACTCTGGGTTGTAATCCAATGCTACTTTACTTTTTCCTCAAATTGTTAACAGTTTTGGCCATTGGGACCTCTTTCAGTTGGCTCTTGTGCCCCTCTGACCTACTCTCATCTCTGTGAGTATTTTTGTTTGTTTGTTTAGGGGATCATGTTCTTTCTTTCTTACCGGAACTACCTGGTGCTCCAAGCTCATCTTGAATACTTCCTTAATAATAGAATCAGCCATTTCTCTATAGAGGCAGGATTTTGTTGTTGTGGTTACAGAAGAGGGAGAACTACATACAGTAAAGACAGATGGGATGCCCCTCCCCCTTTCTTAAAATCTGAACTTGTTACGTTTAGTTTTTTACCTTCAAAGGGCCTCTTCCCTTTTTAGCTCAAGGCTGATGATTTGACCTTATTTTTATTTTCATGTTATAAACTTGGCCTTTTGTACTTAACTCAGGATTTTCATGCAATTTGGAGCATTTTGGTTTCAATACATCCATGATTAGGGATTTTTCATCTTCTGTCATTGAAGCGCATTCGAGAAAGCAATTCAGGGACTTTTGACTTAACATTTGAAGGATTAAGACTAGTCTGTCTGTCTTTGTTCTTTTAAATGGAGTGCATCATACATTTTTATAAATAATGAAAAGGTTATTTCACCATCGCATTTGAAATCCTGCTGTCTGTGCCTACATTTGTCTTTGAGATTGCCTTAGGACACCTGATTAAAAAATTTTATAATTTTTATAACATAATGAAGAAGTTCTTTCTAGTTTTTTTCTTAAATCTTTTTGCATATCCCAGGAACAGAATCAATGTGACAGCTGGAGAACTACTTGAAATAAGACTATTGATTTTTCTTACTTCCTTAGTTCCCAGAGTTTTCTGAATTTTGGGGCATTTAGAACCAGAGGCATTGTCCCATAATTCAGTATCTGAGAGTGATATGGAGCTATATTGTGGTGGAATGTTTGGCTGAGAAACACCCATACACTATTTAGGAACCATGGTGATTCTGTATGCTATTTTTTCTGCAACCCGCTATGGATTAGTAATCAGGAAGGCTGCGAGCGTAAAATAAATGCCATACTGACTTCCAGGGGAGACAAGATTAGAAAAGGAAAGACTGTCAGATCTTATTAGAAAACTAAACTAGATTAGAAGAGAATATCAGATCCCATTACCTAAATAACTTTATATACAGAAACAGCCTACCATAAATGTTATGTATAGAAATAGCTGAAGTGGTTAATTCTTTTTTATTAATAACATCATTAGTAAAGCCTAACTGTACTATACATTTTATACTGCTTCATTCTTTTCAAAAATGAAATGCCTTCACGGATATTACCTTAATGAAAGTATTGGTCTAGAGGAGCAGTAATGTGGATAATAGTGCTTTCCTCTCTTACCAGATGGCTCTGTGAAGCACAAAAATACCAAGTTCATATATCAAATAATCAGTAACAGCAGTTTCAATCATTCATGTAAACTTACATTCAATATTGTTGAATGCCTCTTTTGGCAGTGTAGACTTTGCTACAGAGAAAAGGACCATTGGGTTATCCAAATTATTAGCTCCTTGCTGTTGAAATCTTATTGAGCATTTACCATGAGCCAGACTCTGAATCTCTTAAACTGATGCTCTGTCCAGGTGGGATGAATGAATGAGCTAATGCATTCATTTTGAATAGTGCATTTTGATGCTTGTCTTCTCTTCTTTAGAGTCATCTCAGATTCTTGTTTAGGTCATCTTTACCTTAACACAATCTGGACTGTGATCACTGCATTCATTACAATTAGGTTTTTTTTTTTCTCTAGAATATAGAAACCCAAAATAACAGCGACTTGTACAGCATAGAAGTATGTTTTTGTTTTTTGTTTTTTGTTTTCGTTTTTGTGTCCCCAAAACCTAGGTCAGGGCTTGACACATGTTACTTGAAATAATAAATGCATTGCCTTGCCCGATTAAGCTTCACTGCCCCCACTGAGGTGATAGATTTTAGCCTATGAAACAAGCACCATCTGGGTTTAGGGAACTGGTATGGTGATAACAAAGCAGGATTTCTTAAAGCTTAGTCCATGGACCACCTGTGGTAGAATAACTTGCTTGTAAAATGTAGATTGCCATGCCTCATGCCAAGGGATGTAATTTGAAAGGTGTAGGATACGGTCCAGAAATTTTCATGTCTTATAAATTCCTCTGGGTGATCTGAGAACCACTGGGAAGGAAAGGAAAGGAGAGGAAGAAACTGATTTGCAGTCTCACAACCTTTTAATAAATTCTCATAAAGTAGTGGCAGGGGCTCTATTTCCAGTCCTGGCTCCTGAAGTCATGGTAGGACCTATTGCTTCTAGGAGTGCTCTCCAGAATTAAGGCCAAGATTAGGAAATGACTTAGAAGTTTATTTTTCACTCATGTAAAATAAGCTTTGAGGCAGGTAGTGAAGTGCTGGAACGGAGGAAGATTCATGAAGTCATCAGCAACCCAGGCTTCTTTACTCTGATGCCCTTGTTCTTATGATCCAAGGTGGCTGCTAGAATTTCATTCAAAGAATCTATCAATTCTTACTTCCAGATGGCAGGAAGGAGGAAGGAAATGAGTAGAAGATAAATCCCCCTTTATTTTAAGGAGACTTGCCAGATATAACAAAGAAAGCTATATACATCTCTTTGGCCAGAACTTAGCCTTATGACCACATTTGGCCACAAGGTTATTTTTTTCTTACCTGGCCCAGTGAAATGAACAAAAATCCCCTCAGGATCCTCTTAATAAAGAAGAGGCTATTACTGGTCTTCACCATAATCATTCATTCTAAAGCTGCCCAAATAAACATCCTGGATTCTGTTGACCTCTTGGCAAGTGATTTTGCCAGTTCTCAAAACCAGCTATCGTCACCATCCTGTTTACGCCTACTCTTATGTCTCCTCCTCATAATTGGTGGGAAAAGTGCTAAAATTATAGATAAATATGATTTCATATTACCTTTTAGTTAATTCCAATTATATTTCTATTTTTAAAATGTGGATTGTTATGTCCTGTAGTCTGTTTTTTATACAGTTGTTTTAAAAATGTTCCGTATTCCACTCTAATTCTCCCCTCTCACTTTATTTTACCTTGTTTTAAATAGGTGTAGGTGCAGGCCGGGCACCTGTAATCCCAGGTGGCTCATGCCTGTAATCCCAGCACTATGGGAGGCCGAGGTGGGTGGATCACCTGAGGTCAGGAGTTCGAGACCAGCCTGGCCAACATGATGAAACCCTGCCTCTACTAAAAATACAAAAATTAGCCAGGCTTGGTGGTGGGCGCCTGTCATCCCAGCTACTTGGGAGGCTGAGGCAGGAGAATCACTTGAACCTGGGAGGTGGAGGTTGCACTGAGCCAAGATAGTGCCGCTGTACTCCAGCCTGGGCAACAGAGCAAGACTCCATCTCTAAAAATTAATAAATAAATAGGGACAGTTCCAGTGGCTCAGGCCTGCAGTCCCAGCACTTTGGGTGGTAGAGGGTCGCTTGATGCCAGGCATTGGAAACTGCTTCTTACAAAAAATAAAAATATTAGCTGGGCATGGTGGTGTGCACCTGTAGTCTCAGCTACTCAGGAGGCTGAGGTGGGAGGATCACCTGTGCCGAGGAGTTTGAGACTGCAGTGAGCTACGATTGTACCACTGTGCTCTGGCCTGGGTGGCAGAGTGAGACCCTATCTCTTTAAAAAAAAAAAAAAAAAAAAAAAAAAAAAAAGACAACCTCAGTTTTGAGGCACATGACGCGCCTTCATGTGCCTCAGTCTCAGTCCCTCTTTTCTCAGCAGGAGATACGCCTTACAGGTGGTGGTGGTGGTGGGGGACACACCATTTCTCTTGACTGCTGTTCAGAGCAGTGCCTGAACAAGGTGTGCTCTGAAAATACCTGTTGAAAGAACAAATGGACAATTTCCCTTCTTCCTCTTACTTCCCTCTCCTATTTAGGATATAAGATTGTTTCTATATTGAAAATATTTTATCTCGACTTTGTTGCATTATTTTTTCCATTTCTCACAGTTAA
This sequence comes from Homo sapiens, assembly GCF_000001405.40. Classification (NCBI taxonomy): domain Eukaryota; kingdom Metazoa; phylum Chordata; class Mammalia; order Primates; family Hominidae; genus Homo; species Homo sapiens. Next base: position 144,767,650 of record NC_000007.14, on the reverse strand, counting down.
CTTTTTATATTTTAAGGAAAGGTGACTATTCTTCCTTCTTAATCAACTCCTGACTGTTCACTAATTCCTTGGTCACTTCACTATCTTGAGTCTCCCTCTATGAATTTTCAGATTTTCTTTGAGATCTCCCTCCCCTCGGCCTCTTGTTCAATCTCCTTGACATTTCTGTAGCATGCTGTGTTATCGGCTGCATGTTCTTGGAAATACCTTCTTATCCTTCTGCCTTTATGGGTTTTCCTTCTGTATTTTCTCTGTTGACCTCCTTCGGCTCTGTTACGGTGAGGAAAACACAATGTCTTTGCTTTCGTCTTTATTCTTTTCTCTCTTTGCCCTCCCCTGCTTTGTGCAGTATCTCAGTGGCTTGCCTACTCTTTTACCTTCAGCTCTGATCTCTATATGGATTCCGAATTATATAAATTGTGTTTACTACTCATTACTGCATCACTCTTTTTGTAGAGGAATTTAAGTTGGTGCCTCAACTTAAATTCCTACGTTATCTTAAACATTATGTTTAAAATTACTGATGTTAGTATCACATCATTAGGGCATTGCTTCTGAAACTGTTCATTGGAGTAACCCTAATGGATAAGGAGAGCAGCTTCTCGTGGGCTGTTTTTCTTGTCTAGAAAGCCCCTTCCTTTATTCTTTGCACCTTCTTTCTCTTTGAAAGATCAAGTTCAAAAATCTACATTTCACAAAAATCTCTGGGATGACACCAGACTTTATTGGCTTCCTAGCCTTTGAACTCCCGCTATACTCATTTATCTATTTATCTGGCATTCCTCCTGTGCTTCTGTTATATTGTATTTTGAATAAATCATCTTTATTTTAAGTGTCTCATCTCACAGCTTGTAATCTTATCCCTCTTTGTACTCCCAGTGCCTGGTATACAATTGGCACTTAATAATATTTGCTATGGATGATGGCATACCCTTTTTATTTACTTATTGTGTTCCATTTCTAACAGTGAGATTGCTTAAAAACAATTTTTCTTAAACATTTAATTTTTCACAAATGAAATGGAGGGTGCTTGGACTGAACTGAATGACAGATTTTCAATACCTGATTGTACTTTGCTTTGCACTATTTTAAGTACATTATAAAAGGTGTGGAATGATTGTCTTAAAAGTAAACTTTTCTTCATCTTTGTCTTTGGAGTGTCATTAAAAACCTGGAATAAGAGAATCATGAGAAGACCTAGTAGGATTTCTGAAAGCACACAGGGTTTTGCTTTGGAAAGTTCAGGATAGGGTAAGCGTGGAAGGAAAGAGAGAAAAAGAATATGAATGAATGTGAAAATACACACCCACTAGACCCATACCATTTGATAAATAAGGTCAGGATGATATAAAACTAGCCAGGTAGAAGGATAGTTGTGTCAAAGTAGTAGATATATTGGAAGGATGAGAATTTATATCAAGAACATTTGTGCTCTTCACCCCCTACAAAAAGTTTACCCAGTTGTTTCTATGATACATTGCTCAACAATATGGTAATGTGACAGATACACTAAGTAAAATAGGACCCGTTTATGTATGATGCCTTTTAAAATTAAGGTATGGGAAATTCACTGTGATTGAACTTTAGTTCTGTGTATACTGAAAATCTGGACTAGTAGTGTATGATTTTAGACTCATATAAGAGGAACAAAAGACTCAGTTCACTTATGTATTTTATTTTGCTTTCTTTTTTTCTCTAGGGAATTTGAAGTACTGCCTTGTAATTCTTAATCAGCCTTTGGACAACTATTTTCGTCATCTTTGGAACAAAGGTAACCTTAATTAGCATTTCTGTTTCTTTGCTTTCTTACTTTATTTGTGACTGACCAACATGACTATTAAGTACCCTGAAACCTGACTAAAAAGTGGAATTCATAATAAGGTGATTCAATTATTAATGATTAGAATAATTTATTATCGCTTCTCTGTTAAACTGTTTAAATGTGATTTCCAAAGCATGGACTCCGAAGGACGGAATACCATACTGTATTTCAGAACTACAGTGTAGATATTAAGCCTGAATCCTCAACAAGTATTTGTTCAAGTGTAAATTATTTTTGGCACCAGTGGTAGCAGAAAAGCATCCACATGCCTCATCTGTTGCAGCATCCAATAAGGTATCTGCAGGGTGATCAGATTTGCAAAATCAAAAAAGATGATGATGCTAGTATGTAAGAACCTCTTGGGGTGCTGAAAAATATAGTTAAAAATGGGATAGTGTCACAGAATTGATACTATTGGAAGGTTTTGTGTAAGAAACAGGCTTCATTAACTGTTTATATTATTCTTTAACTTTTATAGGATTATCTCTAGGTTGGAAAATAATGTTCAATATCGTTTGCTGTTTTGAATCTCTGTTCTTCTCCCATGAAACAATGAATTTTGTTGTTGTTGTTGTTGTTGTTTTTCCAAAGGAGCATTTTTGTTGAGTTGTCAGTGGAAGTTTTAGGCCAAGGTAGATAGGCAGAAGAACTTGATTCGTGATGCATTGATGCATATTTTTGCCATTCCTGATTCCCTCTTATCATCATAGAACTCTTTAGTATTCTCAACATTGTGTTTATGTTTCTTAGAATGCAAACCTCGTATGTGAATAAGCTCACATCTGTAGTTGAGATAGTTGTGATACTAGAGGGAATAAATCATCACAAGTGATTTTTGTGTAAAGAACCTTTTTTGTCTAATATAGTGAAAACTCTTGGTATTCTAAATTGAACTATGTGTAAGTTAGTGAACTTAAAATTTCACATTATAATTGTACTAACATTTCTCTCAAAGCATAAAAATTATTTAACCATTAACTTTTCTTTCTTAGCACCCCACTAATTAGGTAGTTATTTGAATGGCTGTGATGTCTTTTGTCACTGTGTCTCTAGTGCCTAGTGCAGTATCTGTCACATAATTGCTATTAATGACAATAAATGAAAGAATGAATTTAGTATAGCTTCTATTGCTAGAAAATACTAAAATGGTTAGGTATATCCTTTCTAATTGAATTTATTGTATCATATTTTATATTGTTTGGGGAGAGTGTGAGTGACTGTTTTATTGCAAACATTAGAAATAGAATAACCGTTGATCCAAACCATTGGAGACCTTGAATATTCAAAGCTACATCTAAAGAAGTCTGTTACGTTTGGGGGAGTTGAGGGTCTTAATTTTGCAAACAGTGTGAATGATGTAGACTTTTGAGCCGACCGAAGTTCCTCATTTCATTAGTTTTTCCATAAGGATCAGTCTGTACATGAAAAAAAACTAAGGTATCTGAAGTATCCGGTATACTGAAATGGCTAGTTAATTCTCATTTCCAAAATAATTTGTCTTTTTTAGATTATTGAGATGTTAAGTTCTTTCACATATATACTAGGATAATCCTTGGTGTTCTGGAGCCTTTAACCATTGTAAGAAACAGGCCTATTGATAAATACTAAAGTGTAGGTTTTTTGTGATTCTCTTAACAGAAGCTGTGCTTTTTATGCTTGTAGTGTCCCCTTTTGTGTTTCTTTTCTCCCGAGTAAAGGAAACAAAATAGAGAAGTATTGAGCTTGAGTTGTTAATCTTAACATAGGAAAGGCTTAGGAAAATGGATAGGGCAGCATTGAGAGTTTGGGAGAGGAGACAGTATTATGGGTTGGGGTATTAGCAAGTATGAAGTGGCTTGGGGGTGCTGTCCCCATTACCTTTTAATACGCTCAACATTTTCTGTAACTTCTGTTCTATGATACAAAGATTTGTGAAGAGCTGAAATCAAGGGATGAAGACTGGGCTGTTAAAATGGTTGCAAGCTTCAAAATGCAGAGAAATCTGAAGAGTGTTGCATAGTATATGAGACTCCTGCATAAAACTGGCAATTTCACTTTATGCCAAGGACTTCTGCTGAGTAGATGTTTCCTGAGATTCATTTCAGGGGAAAGACTATGTTGAAAGTTTATCTTAAAGTTTCTTCCTGCAATGGTTAAGTGATATTTTTACCAGCAGCGAATCCATACGGGCCTGCAGCAACCCCATCCTTGCCTGCTCAGGGATATAATTCAGCTGAGGGCAGAAGTAGGTTTAAGGTAAAGGGAGAGACTGAGGCAAGTTTTAGAGCCGGAGTGAGAGTTTATTAAAAAGTGTTAGAGCAGGAGCGAAAGGAAGCAAAGTACACCTGGAAGAGGGCCAAGCGGGTGACTTGAGAGATTTGAGTGCCCTGTTTGGACCTTGATTTGGGGTTTTATACATGGCCATAGTTCAGGGTTTGTGTTTCTTCTCCCCTGATTCTTCCTTTAGGGTGGGCTGTCTGCATTACAGTAGCCCAGTGGCCCAGTGGCCAGCCAGCACTTGGGAGGGGCCACATGCTCAGTGTGTTTACTAAAGTTGTGTGCATGCTCATTTGAGCCATTTTTCCTTTACCAGTCAAGTATTCCCAGAGGAAGATCATATACCAGTTAAACGCCACCATTTTGCCTCTTGCAGTGTGCATGCTGAGCCTACTTGCCCAACTCCAGAGACCTTATAAGGAAGCAGCTGATCACCAGCTCCAGGTGTTTTCTATCTATTGGGAGGTTGCCTTTCCCTGGTGCTGGCTGCCACAAATTATTTTAGAGAAACAGTTTAACAACTGCCTGACCATCACCTATGGTCCCCTGACATTCCTGGGGAGGGGAGTTCTCCTGCTGTGCTCATGTCTGCCTAACTACCTACTCTGACAATGTCAGTTATGAGATTTAGCTTAAATGCCTAAGGAGGGAGTTCAAGAGAGATTAAAATTATGGAGGTTTTAATGTATTTTCTCTTTTATACATCATGAAGTTTAGTGATTTTCTTGGTTAGAAGTCTTGGAGCATATCTCTCTACCTGTTCCAGCATTTTCTACGTTTGGTTTGATGATAAAGTAAGCACTTAGGTAGGTAGATGGGTAAATAGAAAAATGGGTAGATAGAAGTAGAGTTAATATCTAACTTTTCTGTAATATCAGAGGTTATTGCTATTTGTGACTTGCTATTGGTCTTAGGTTTACTAACTTTTTTTTTTTTTTTTTTTTTTGAGATGGAGTCTTGCTCTGTCTCCCAGGCTGGAGTACAGTGGCACGATCTCAGCTCACTGCAGCCTCTGCCTCCCGGGTTCAAGTGATTCTCCTGCCTCAGCCTCCTGAGTAGCTGAGATTACAGGCGCACGCCACCATGCCTGGCTAATTTTTGTATTTTTTAGTAGAGATGGGGTTTCACCATGTTAGTCAGGCTGGTCTTGAACTCCTGACCTCGTGATCTGCCTGCCTCGGCCTCCCAAAGTGCTGGGATTACAGGCTTGAGCCACCGTGCCCAGCTACTAACATGTTTTTAAAAAATATTTTGAGTCAGGCTTTATTTCAGGAAGTGTCTTTCTCTACCTGAAATATGTGATAAGTGCAAAAGTAGGGATATGTATGTTAGAAGGGCTCTGCCTATTTCTTGTAGGTTAGTTATTCTCGACTGGAGTCACAGTGCTAACAGTGTTCTCAAAGTTAGTAGTGGAGATCTCTGTGCTACAAAACATCATGAAAAACAGACATATTGGAATAAGGTTATATTGAGTGTGTATGAAGTTTCTAGGAGTTCAGCTTAACACATATCCTCATTGTTAGCATGTATTCACAGCCTTTCTCCACTTTTTCCACATGATTTACAGCACAGTGGTGATCATGTTAATTAGATTATGGCTAGATGATCAGATTCTTTTACTATCATCCTTAAGATCACCCCAGGGTATGGGCAGTGTACTTATTTTCATTGACACTGAAGTCATAAAATATTTGACATATCAGGCAGGTCTTACAGATTAAAAAGAGGCACAAGTAGCATTCGTGAATTAAAGTATAAGCAAGGTCTTTGGTTTTATAGCATTAGTTATGTTCCATTTGTTATTGACTGACACTAGTTGAGGCCCTTCTGTGTCAGGCATTGGGCTGGTTGCCAGGGACATGATAGTGGCTAGAATTGAGAGGTGGAGTCTGTTAAGTGCAGCCTGTTCCTGTGACGGCATGTCCGAAGCTCTGTCTGTCCAAGCCGCAAGTGCTTAGAATGAACTAGCCATGCCCCTGCTTCTTAAGAATTGATATTTTTGTAATAGTTGGTTAATTGACTCTACTCGTTCATTTCTATTTGCTTTTCTTTAAAATGAAAACACTCTACCTAGTTTGTAATAGACTAAATAGACTTGCCATAATAATTATGCTAATCTTGTGCTAGTGATTAGTATTGGCATTAGGTTTGTTTTAAATGAG